>NC_000023.11:36648191-36798548 GCF_000001405.40 Homo sapiens | reverse complement strand
GGCATTCACTTTAACCTCTTTTAAAAGAGCACTAATCCCATTTGTGAGAGTGGAGTGCTCATGACATAATCACTTTCCAAGGCCCCACCGGTTAATATTATCACATTGGGCATTAGGTTCCAACATACGAATTTTGAAAGGATGTATATATTCAAACTATAGCAACCTATAACATAAATTTTATCATTTTAACTATTTTAAAATGCACAATTCAGTGTGATTTAGTGCATTCCCAATATTTTACAACTGTCATCACTATTTAGTTCCAATAAACATAATCATTGCCCCCAAAAAAACCTCAAAGCAATTAGGTAGTCATTCCTATTGCCCTCTTCTCCCAGCCTCTAGCAACCACTGATCTGCTTTCTGTCTCTACATATTTGCCTATACTGGATATTTCACAGTAATGGAATAATACAATATGTGGCCTCATGTGTCTGATTTCTTTCTTAGCATAATGTTTCCAAGTTTAGTCCATGTTGTAGCATGTATCAATATTACCTTTTGTGGCTGAATAATATTCCATTACATGTGTACAACATATTCATTGGTTGAACATTCTGGTTGTTTCCACTTTGGCTATTGTGAATACTGCTGCTGTAAAAATCCTTGTTCAAATGTTTAACACTTGTTTTAAATTACTTAGGTCATATGTAACCAGGGATAGAATTGCTGTGTCTTATTGGAATTCTGTGTTTAACATTTTGAGGAATCTCCAAACCATTTTCCATAGTGGTTCCACTATTTTATATTGCCACCAGCAATGTGTGTAGGTCCTAATGTTTTCACATTCTTGTCAACACTCATTATTTTACCTTTATGTAAAAAAATTACAGCCACCTAGTGGATATGAAATGGTATGTGGTGGTTTTAATTTGTACTTATCTAATGACTAATGCATCTTTACATGTGCTTATTTGACAATTGTATATCTTCTTTGGATAAATTTATATTCAAGTCATTTGTTCATTTTTTTTTCACTGAGTTATTTGTCTTATTGAGTTATGAGTTCTTCATATATTCTGCATATTAGTCTCTTATCAGACATATGATTTGCAAACATTTTCTCCTATTCTGTGAGTTGTCTTTTAATTCTCTAGATAATGTACTTTGATGGGAAAAGTTTGGAATTTTCATGAGATCAAATGTATTGACTTTGTTTTCTTTTGTTGCTTGTATTTTTGGTGGCATATTTAAAGAATTATTGCCAAACCCGAGATCATAAAAATTTATCCTTGTTTTCTTCAAGGATTTTTATAATTTTAGCTCTTATACTTAGGTCTTTGACTCATTTTGAATTAGTTTTATATATATAGTGTGCCATAAGGGCCCAACTACATTGTTTTACATGTGGACATGCATTTGTCTTAATAAAATTTGTTGAAGATACTATTCTTTCCCCATTGAATGATGTTGGCATCCTAGTGGAAAATCAAAATGTATGAGTTAATTTCAAAATTCTTAATTCTATTATATTAATCATTATGTTTATATTTATTCCAATAACATACTGTTTTAATTATAGCTTTGTAATAAGTTTTAACATCAAGAAGCATGAGTCCTCCAAATTTATTCTTCTGCTTGTCTATTCTGGGTCAATTGCAATAGCATATGAATTTGAGGATCAACTTTTCCATTTCTTAAAAAAATAAGGCATTGGGATTTTGATAAAAGTTGCATTGAATGTATACATCCCTTTTTGTCTAAAAATATCACTACACACCTATAAAAATGGCTAAAATCCAAAACACTAATACTAAATGTGGATGAGAATGTGGGCCAACGTGAAATCTCATTCATTGCTGGTGGTAATGCAAAATAGAATAGCTACTTTGGAAGAGAATTTGGCAGTTTCATACAAAGTTAAATATATTCTTACAGGCCAGGTGCGGTGACTCATGCCTGTAATCCCAGCACTTTGGGAGGCTGAGGTGGGCAGATCGCTTGACTCCAGGAGGTCAAAACCAGCCTGGACGACATGGAGAAACCCCATGTCCATAAAAAATACAAAAATTAGCCGGTGCATGCCTGTCGTCCCAGCTACTCAGGAGGCTGAGGTGGGAGGATCACTTGAGCCTGGGAGACAGAGATTGCAATGAGCCGAGATCACGCCACTGCAGTCTAGCCTGGGTGACAGAGCAATACACTGTCTATCTAGCTATCATCTATCTAGATATGTATATATACATATGTATATATACCTGTGTATATACATGTGTATATGCATATGTGTATATATATGCACATATGTATATATTCTTACCATATTATCCAGCAATTTAATTGCATTTTTTGCATTTACCCAAATGATTTGAAAACTTATATCTATACGAAAACTTGCATATGAATGTTTAAAGCAGCCATATACATAATTTTCAAAACTTAGTAGTTTTCAAGATGTCTTTCAATAAGTGAATAGATAAACAAACTGTAGTACATCCACACAATGGAATACTAATCAGTGACAAAATAAAATAACCTATCAAGCCAGGAAAAGACATGGAGGAACTTAAATGCATATTGCTAAATGAAATAAGCCAATCTGAAAAGAACAAATACTTCATGGCATTCTGGGAAAGGCAAAACTGTGGAGACAGTAAAAAAAATCAATAGTTTCCAGGGGTTGGGGTGAAACATGGATAGGTGGAGCACAGGAGATATTTAGGACAGCGAATTTATTATGTTTGACATTACGATGGTAGATACATGCCACTATACAGCTGTCAAAACCCATGTAATTTATAACACAAAGAGTAAACCTTAATGTAAACTATGGATTTAGTTAATAATGATGTACCAATATTGGCTCATCAATTTTAACAATGTACTACACTATTGTGTGATGTTAATCATAGGGGAAACTGGGGAAGATAAGAGAGAATTTATAGGAACTACTTTCTACTCAATTATTCTGTAAATATAAAACTGTTCAAAATAATGATACATATTAACTTTTTATTAATTTTCAATTTAATTAATTTTTGCAGCAGCCAGATGAACTCTAAGCCAGATCACAAGGCCAGAGCCCAAGCATATTCTCACACCAATGGCAGTCCTATATGTCTGCATCTGACATGACACATGACGCTCCTTTGCTTATGCACACACCTTTACTGTTATCTGGGTTCTCCACAATTGGAATGCCTGGGTGATATAGTTCATGTGCCCAGGCAGTCACAGCTTCCACAGGGTTATCTTTCTGTGCTCCTTGCTAGAGTCACTGTTCTTCTGCCTGGGCAGGATAGAGGTAATGGGCTGAGAGGTAGGGAGTACTCATGGAGGAGCATGCAGAACCACAGGAACCCAAGAATAAGGAATGTGGTTGTGGTGCAAGTCCATCTGCAACCTCAAGATGTGAGAGGCCCAGACAGGTAAATTAACTTCCCTAGGGGCATACAGACAGTAAGTGACTTCATGGAGATGGGACCCCAGGCTATCTGGCCATCACCCTGCTGGCCAAAGCCATGACCACTGTGAATCATGCTCTGATTTCTCTGACTTCACAGTCATCAAGGCCTCCACCCTGTCTTCCCACTAAGTTCTGCCAGCAGAGAAAAATGGAGATTCCAGTTTCTGACAGTGCAGCTCTCTGATCAGGACTCAGGCTCTGTCCTAGGCATTTTACATTCATTAACTCATTTAATCCCTACAGTAGTTTTATGAGTGATCATCTCCATCAGAGGCAACTTAAATTCTCATATCAAAAGAAATTTGGCACCCCCACAGTTCTATGAAATAAGAAGAATTGAAAAATTCCCCTCTCTGTCTGACTTGCACAAATTTTCCTAGGACTGTATGTTACATGGAAGGGGAAGATGATTGATCATCACATGAACTGGTTATGGGTGCAATAGTTTCTACCAGGACAAAAACTATACTTGGAGGAGTTATACTTTTGAGAAAACCGTTTATCCACTGAGAAAGCACTGAAGAAATCATGAAGGAAGGCAAGGAATTTCATCTAGTAGTGATATACCATCTCTATCTTTATAGTATGCACGTGACTATTCATTCAAAACATAAATACATTTATCATAAAATCTGCATAGTTGCAGCCTAAGAAAAGTAGATGGATATTAAAGACAAATAATGGAGATCCAATATATGGATCATTCTCATGGCTGAAAGAAAACTCTAGAAAAAAAGAAAGAGAAATAATAGTTACAGAAGAAAATAATGTTTTCTTGAGCTGAAAAAAATGTTAATCTTCCCAAGAAAAGGTCTTGTTATGGTCAAAGCAGAGTTAATACAAATTGTCCAGTACCTGGATGTGAATGGCTAACATTTTGAATTTCAAAGATAAAGAATATTATGAATTTTCAGGAAGAAAAAGAAAATATTATCTACAAAGATACAAAATCAATTTTCTCTTGAATGCAACAGCGTAGCAGGATACAAAAGGAAAACATATAATACATTAAGGGGAAAAGACTGTGTGTGATTAAATAATTCTACATCAAGTCGTGTGCAGATGCAACAGAAATAATTATGTATGGGTTATTCCCATGTAAAATTCCCTGAGAAAAATTATCAAAATTCAAAAAATTAATCAAAATAAAACCTTTGAAGTAGAAGTGCATAATATACCTTCTGAAGGTATGTGTGGAAATCATTTACATATAGAAAGTCAAGTCTGAATAATTACTAAAAATATGATTAAGCACTGCAAATGTTTAAAATAATTTAAATTTTAACCTATTTTTGTTTTTTTAAAGAAATCTTTTTAATAAAAATGATTTAATAATTTTCCTCCCAAATATATGCCAATAACATACATTTGAAAAGGTCATGTTGTTTTTTGAGTAGAACATTAAGGATCTTTCATTTTGTTAAGGTTTTAACTTTATTTCTCTAATTTCTAAAATGGGTTATGATGGAAGCTTGAAGTTCTTTATCAATGTCCAACTCTCCTCCTAGATTATAAACTTCTCAAAGGGAATTAAGTCTGTGGATCACAAATACCTTAAGCAGTGTCTGATGCATAGTAAGTACATAAGAAATCTTTCTACAATGAATATGTAAATAAATGAACCTTACTTGAAAAATTCTAGATTTCCTCATATATCCCAAATCTTTGATAGTTGTCAATTAATGTAAAACAAAAGTGTTTCTATCGGGTTAAGTATTGATTTTTTGTGGATTGTTTTTAAAATCTAAAGTCTGGAAATTGTTCTATAGTATTGATTGGTTGTATCTATAATTATAATAAAACTGAATACTATGGTGAAAGTTTTGGGTGAAGAAGTAACAGGTCACTTAAAGGAAAAAAGGGGAGTCATTAGGAAATGTAGGCAAGTATAAAAATAAGTTTATTTCTGATTAAGTAGTGTTTCATAGTCTGTCTTTTAAAGAATACTCAAGTTTGTCAGGAGACATGAAAATGTTGCAAAAAAAAGCACTGGTGAAAAAGAAGTGTCTGTCTGGTCGTGTTCAATTTGTATATGGATATCAGTGAGCTGGAAAAGAGCAATCATTTGAGGAAGTCTTGGAGTAGTGTGACTGACATTCTGCAATAAGAAATACTTAAGGGTCAACACTCCTGCATTTTGATGGGATAATTTAGCATGTGCCCTTCACAGATATGGGGCTATCAGGATTGTTGCACATATAGAACAAGGAACCTACCTCCTTCAGTTAGCCATTTTTGAGTGAACTTATTCCTGCACTATGCAGTAGGTGAGAGAAATAAACACCTGTAATACTGTGGTCACTCTAACAGGCCTAGAAAACATAAATGCTGTCTGTGCTGGGCATGTAAGAGCAGGAGTAGTTCTAGAAAAGCATCATCCTATTACTTCACCCCATGTGAGAAAGACCTAGGACATGGGATTCCAGTCTTGTTTCAGTAAATCTCTCTGATATCAAGTCTGTGGGATGCTGGTGCTAATGACTGGTGGGGCCAGTTATCTAACACAGGATGAGAATGCTGAAGCAGTGTCTGTATTGGGATTCCCCAGAAGGAGACCTGAAACAAGATTCATGTACTGTAGCTATATTTGGGGTGGGGGTAATGCAATGAAACAGAGGAGTTGGGAGAGAGATGGAGAAGGGAAAGCATCCACCAAGAGGTGTAATATCCAACAAGTTGAGCTCAATCCCACTGAGGAACTCTGGGAATCAGTGTAATGCATCCACCTGTTTAGAAAATCCAGAGATGGGTAGAAGTTCAAGTGGTGAAGATAAATTTTATTAAAAAAAACTATTGTAAGTAGAGGAAAAGAGATCTCAGTGTAGAACCAGGCTCAATTCTGAATACAACATGGACAAGTGGGAATTTTTAACCAAGTAAAGGGATGGGGGTTAGTGGATTGAAAATTACCAAGAGGAAATGTCAAGGGGAAAGAAGGATTATGGCTAAACAAATTTAACAGGATTCTTGCTGAAGATAGGCCAGGTGATCAGATATCAAGAGTAGGGGATGAGGAATTTGATCAGATATTGAGGGTGGTCAGATATAGAGAGTAAGGATTCTTTCTTAACTGACTTAGCAGGGTTCTTCCTAAAACTGGATTCTTGCTAAAACTAGATTCTACAAGGAAGGACATGAAGCCCAAAACTGAGGCCTAGTCAAAAAGAGAAAGCTCAGAGGAGCCTGACCAAAGTTTGATTGGGAGAGTCTTTGTCACACCTCAGAATTATCTCTTCTCAGGCTCAAGGGACTGAGGCTGTTTAGACACCAATTTCCATCAGTCATTGGCTGAAGGCTGCTTTCCAGGACATTAATTTTCTGGTTCTCACAGCTGGCCTGCATAGGCAGGGTGGGTTTTGGTTGTCAAGAAAAGTCCTCAGGCAGCTGGAAGTTCCAGAGCTTGCACTGCAGTGGTAAGGCACCAAAGGATAGGGGTGGAGCACCAAAAGAGTCTGCTATAAGCAGCCAGGACAGATTTCAGCAGAAGAGTCCATACATATGTTAGTGGCTGCTATTTCAGAGGGCCTGGGAGTGGAGAGATCAACAGCTATTCTCACTAATGCAGCACTGAGAGATAGTCAAGGCCTGAGGATCTTGGTGAGGACAGCTCGTAGTAGGAGGATGAGGAGCCATGCCAGCTTTTGTCTTTGTGTCCGAGATTCTCTACCCAGATTTGGAAATGTCTTTACCTTTTCTTCCCACCACAGATGGTTGTTGGATATAAAAGGAATCTGGGGAATGTTTCTTTTTTCAGCTTTTAGGCTAATCTTGTTGTCAAAACAGACCATATGCTCAGGATTTAAAATTAGGTGTGATTTACAAAGAACTGTGTTGCAACAAGAGAGGAGAGCAGTGCACAGAAGCCAGTAGCTGAGTGATCACAACAAACCAAATTCTTAATATATCCAAATCATAGTAAATTGCTCTAAAACCAAAGCCCCATCCAAGAATCGCCTTGTGGTCAGCAGCAAAGTGTAAGAATCACGTTCTCAGGTACAGAGGGAAGATCTCATTTAGACTCAGCAGGGCAGTGATACATCGACAAGGTAAAAGGGCTGCTGGTAGCATGCTTCTGAAAAGAGTGATGATCTCCGTTCATTAAGACCTGAACTATGTTCTCTTCCTTTGAGACTTACTTTTTCTCATAGCTCCTCACAGATAGCATAGTCTTTCAGGGAGAGGCTGGTTTCTTCAGCAGTGTTTTTTTTTTTTATTATACTTTAAGTTTTAGGGTACATGTGCACAATGTGCAGGTTAGTTATCAGCAGTGTTTCTTTAGCAGCCTGGCAGGCCCTCTTTTGGACAACTGCCTTGGCCACCTCTCAGGGATGGCTGAGGCTTAGGAACTCAGAGAGAGGGGGAGGGTAGTTGTAGACATTCAAAAAGTCATGGAGTCCAAGACTGGAATAAACCAATGGCAACCAGTGAACAAAATATCCTAGGAGATGGGGATGGGGCTCATGGGGCTTGGAAATTGAGGAGGGTTCTGGAGTCTGTCATCACGGATGTTATTAGAAGTATTTCACAACAAATATGGTACAAATGAAGCAGTGTCATTTGTTTGGGGAAATACCCAAGGTTCATTGTCTTACACCAAGGAAATCAAAGATGCAGACACACAAGGAGTGGGTTTAAGAGCAGAAGTTTAATAGGCGAAAGAAAGAAAAGAGCTTCCTCCTGCAGAGGAAGGGGTCCCGAGTGGGTTTCCAGGTTTGGGGTGAGATGTGGTTGGTTTTATAGATGAGCTTGAGGAAGCGTTGTTTGATTTACATAGGTGGCAGAGGATTGGTTGGACCAGGTGCACCATTTACATGGCATGTAAAGAGGCTGGCCATCACACCCTAATCTTTAATATGCAAATTGGGTCTTTACCTGGCTGGCACCATGCTGCCTGCTTTTTTACTGCACACGTGGCAACAAAGAAAAGGGAAGAGGGAACCCCCATGTTGAATATACCTGACTTCCAGGTATCCCTTTTCTATTGGTGCAGCTGCCGGCATTCACCCACGCAAGCGTCCAGCTTATTTAACTATGGGTTCTTGATTTTTCAGTCTGCTTTCTGTTAGAAAACAAATGATTTGGGGGCTGCTTTTTATTAAAAGGAAGTTCCACCAAAACTCTTTTACCCTTACTAACTGCCTAAATAATTGCTTTTTAGCTTCTCTATCACAAACACTGACCAATGGGTAGAGCTGGATTCAGGGCACCAGCTGTGTGAGGCACTAACTCTGTAGTTACTAGGTTCTGGAGAAAGGGTGAGGGTGACAGGGGCAGTGGTGAGGACCTGTAGAGCATGTAGGTATCCCAGAACAGCCTCAGTTTATTAACTAGTCTGGTACAGGCCAGAGTGAATGAGCTGTCTTGCATCAGGAATTCCCCTTGGTGCCACAGACTCCAGGTCACCAGCAACTTACATGGCATCTTTGTGTGAATTAAAGAAAGCATTCTCTGTTGTCAGGCTGGGTGAGTAGGTGGCTGGCTTCATTGTAAAAAGGAAAGGCTCTCAGCAGGAAGTGTTTTTAAGAAATAAAAGGTTATCCTCTGTGGAAATGAATGAGAAAAATATAGTTCCTCGGAATGAAAATGTGCTGTCTTTAGGAAAATTAACTGGAAAAGCTCCCACCCCACTCTATAAAACTCTATAAAAAATGTTTCCCCCTTGTGAGAAGAGAACTCAGACAGAAGTGCCCCACCCTGCAGACACAGCAGGGGGTGTTGATGTTGGAGAGGGGGATATGGGCTGGATTTTAGCAACCCCACACCTCCATGACTGGGCACTTTTTGCAGTGAACAAACCACACTGTGTATGGTGGCCTTGCTGAACCCCTACTATATGCCTCAAGGTTACCCCACTCTGTTCTCTAAACTTACTTCCTGTCCTTTTTTCATAAGCACCATGCCCTCATCCCAGATATATATGTTAAAAAGTTTAGACTTTGCACCCATGAACATTGATGTAGCGTATTTTTTTCAATTTTTTTTTAACTTAGGCACATTTAGCATAGCACAGTGATGCAATGAGAAAGACAGCTGGATAAATAGATGGCTCTGTGGTAAACAATGTGATTCTTTCCAATGTCAGGTCCACAATCTTGAATCCAGGGCAGCCCCTCTGCTCCCAGAGCAGAAGGAGAAGCAGCCAGGATTGGTGTGTGTTCCTGCAAGCCATTCCTCTAACATCCTGCAGGTTGGCCTGCAGGGATCATTTCCAAGGGTAAGAGGATCATTCAGTGTTCACAGCCCATTGATTTCCTGGCCATAGCAATAGAAACTGTCAATAAGGTACCAGTTGTGGCAAAGGTTGTTTTGTGACCCATTCTTTTTTCTGTTGAAACTCAATTTGTCAAGGCCGCTGGACAGTCCATGATGACATTTAGTCACTATGGTCTGGGCTGGATTTGGGTCATTGACTTGGTTCCCACTTTAGTCATCCATTAGTGTAACTATGGGCTGGATTTGGGTCATTGACTTGGTTCCCACTTTAGTCATCCATTTAGTGTAACCATTGTGCATATTTATACAAGAGTATATATCTTAGACTATTACAATGTCTGAAGATTTAGGACCTCTGCTTTCACAGTTTTCAGTGATATATATTAGCAGAGAAACACAAGACAGGCTCTGAGCAGGATGGCAGGCGAATTGGTTTTCCACTATCTTGGTAGTGTCCAGCAGGTCACCTCACACCCTGGAAAGCAGACCAGGCTCTCAGATGAAATGTTTTATGACATTGTGACTATAAATCATGGCATCTTGAAGCCACACTTGTAATTTTCCTGGGGCATTGTAGAGCAGCACTGCAATGCTTATTGACTCAAGAAGCGATTGCCCTGCCTTGTGTCAAAGTCACTTTGGGCTGCCCCCAAATAGTATAAAGAGAGGAATGCTGAGTCAGGCACAGCAGTGCATTAGGTCCCTGCCTGGTTGCTCCACTGCACTAATGTTGGTGGCCCTCTTATTTGCCTGTAAATATCCCCTGTCAAACTGGACCCCTGCAATGATGTTTGAGGGCTACTCCTCTTTACGTTGTCACATCCTTTCCCAGGTTACACCATAGCACTGATGCTCTGCACTTCTCCTGTTTGCCTCATCCTTGGCTTCAGTGCAGTTACTCAACTGTAGTGGTTGTGCAGGTTCTACCTTTTCAGGCCTTTTACTTCCCCTGTGCAGTTACATCATTGCATTCATGAGTCAGGTCTCATCCTCTTTGCCCTGGTTACATTATTGCAATGATAGCATGGATATGCTCATCTCTGCTCTGTTTTCATCCTCTGGCCTAGCACAGCATGCACTGATGATGGGAGAATATATTTACTCCCTTCACACTCTGTTCACTTACACAACTGTGTAGACAATGTGGCGCTGCCCATTTTTGCAGCTTACATTTCCATTTCCATTTAATGAGTCCCCTGACAGTGTCAGGATTCTCCTCTTTACCCTGTTAAGATCTGTACACAGTTACATGACTGCACTGAAGGGATGATGGCCTTCCTCTTTGCCCCTCTCACATGCTCTATCTGTGCACACCACAGTAATAATGATGTGATGATCCCCCCACTTGCTCATTCAGATCCACTGTGCACTCACACCATAGCAATGATACTGCTTTCCTTGACCCTGTTCACATTGCTGATCCGGGTACAACTGAGCTACAACACGGTGCTGGTGCCTTGGGCATGTAACTTCTTGTTCTGCACACCTTGCAATGTAATCACTGTGCTGACTGTGTAGTGTTCTTTCTCTTTTCCCCATCCATATAATGCTGCCAAGATACAGCATTGAATTGATGGTTTGGGGCATCTTCTCTTTGCCCCAATCACATGTTTTGTCCAGTTATTCCTCAGTACTAATGGTATCAAGATTCTCCTGTTTTCTCTGTTGACATCCCCTGTGGAGTTTCACCACTGCACTTCTGTGATAGGCCTCCTCCTTTTTGCCTTTCTCACATTCCACATCCAGTTCCATCTGTGCATCAGGGGTCACCCTCTTTTTCCTGTTCAAATTTCTAGTTTAGTTACACCATGATACCAAGGGCATGGGACTTTTTTCTATTTGCCATGTTCACATTCCAGACCAGGCACATCACTGTACTCATGAGTGAAACCTCATCCTCTTTGTCCTATTCACATCCCCTATGTAGTTACACTATTACAATTTTAATGCAGGGCTGCTATTCTTTGCACAGACAACATCTGCTGCCTAGTTATGATGGTGACACCAGCACATTGATAGGGCAGGGATACTTCTCTTTACCTTATTAGAATTCTCTTCTCAATGACACCATTACACTGACACTGTGAGAATGCTCTTCTTTGACCTGTTCACATCCCTGGTCCAGTTACACCTCTGCACTGATGTTGTGGGGTTACTCCTCTGTGCCCTGTTAACATTCTTGTACAAGTTATACCACTGAAGTTATTGGTCAAGGCTCTTCTTCTATGTCCTGTTCATGTCTCTGTGCCCTGGGCTCCATTCCCACTCTCTTCTACTGAGAGATGATGCTTCATCCTCCTCTTTGTCTAATTCACATTGTGTGTACACTTGTACCACTACACTGATAAACTGATGGTTGCAGACCTTATTCTATTTGCCTCAATCATATACCCTGTCTAGTTATACCACAGCATTAATGGTCCAGAGCTTGTTATCTTGGCCCTGTTAGCATGCTCTGCACTGTACCCTGTACTTATGCAAGGGGGAGGTGTTCATTCCTCTTGTACGGTTCATATCCATTTCCATTTATATCATCACACTGGTGGTGCTGAGTCCCTGTTCTTAACTGTGATCACGTCCCTTGTCCAGAGTCACCACTATAAGGGTTCTCCCCACTTCCTGTGCACATCTCCCATTCAGCAACTGATAATGCAGGTTTCTTCCTGCACCCATACGATTTGGGGCTTCTCATTTCTGCCATTTCAGAAAGCCGCTTAAACTATGCCATTGTATTAATGGGGCAGAGCTTCTCCTCTTGGCTTTGTTCTTACCCACTTTCCAGTTATATCACTGCACTGATGGATTAGATATCATCCTGCATTTCTGATCACTATTGTTGTACAGTTACTGTACTGCTCTGATGACATAGGGTTTTTCCTCTTTGCCTGTCTACATTCTCTGGCTAGTTGCTCCACTGTAGTGATGGTGTGGGGCTCCTACTAATTGGCCAGACCACCTCTCCTCTTGCCCAGCTGCTCTGGTTCTCTAAGGGTTTGGGGAACCACCTCTTTGCATTTTCACATTACCTGTTCAGTTACATCACTGCATTTGGTGTCAGGTTTTTCTTCTTTGTCTCATCCACATGCCCTATCTAGATAAACGCCTGCACTTTTGGGGCAGTGTTTCTACTATTTGCCACATTCACATCCTCTGTCCAGATGCTCTAATGAACTGATGGTTTG
This sequence comes from Homo sapiens, assembly GCF_000001405.40. Taxonomy (NCBI): domain Eukaryota; kingdom Metazoa; phylum Chordata; class Mammalia; order Primates; family Hominidae; genus Homo; species Homo sapiens. The sequence goes on along the minus strand of NC_000023.11, from coordinate 36,785,744 downwards.
AGGCCCCTTTCTTTGCCTTTTTACATCCCCCGACCAAGTACACCACAGCAATGATGAAGCAGGCCTTGTCTTCATGGCCTTTTTTACATCCCTCGTTCAGTTATGCTGTTGTACTCTCATTGCTCTGTTCATATTCGGCCATTACTGCATTGATGATTTCCAAGGTCTTCCTCTTCAGTCTGGGCACATACCCTACCCAGTTACTTCACTGGACTGAAGGGATGGGGCTTCTCTTTCCCAGTCGCATACTTTCTGAAGTTCTGAGACTCTACTCCTGAGGCAGGGCTCCTCTTCTTTGCCTTGTTTACATCCCTTCTCCCTTACAGCACTGTATGCATTGGGTGGAGTTCCTTTCTTTGCCCCATACTCATACTCTTCCCACTTAAACAGCACACTTATTCTGCAAGGATCCATTTCTTCTCCTAATCACATCTTCCAAGATACTCCAATGCACTGATAGCCCATGATTTCTCCTCTTTGCCTTATTCATACATAATCTCTTTTTTGTTATTCCACTGCACTCATGAGACAGGTCTCCTCGTCACAGATCTATTCATATCCGTTACCAGGATGAACCAATGCACTGGTGGGTAACCAGTCCCCCTCATTGTCTTGCTCACATCTCCTGTCCAGTTACTCTGCTGTACTTAGGGTGTAGGGCTACTTTTGCCCTCTTCATATTGCCCACCCAGTTCTTCCACTTCAGTGAACATTGGGCTTCTTCTTCTTTGTCCTATTCATATTCACCTCCCAGTTATACCAAGCTTCCCCTACCTCTTTGCCTTTTCTCACATTCCTTGCCCAGTTATACCACTGTACCTTTCTTTCTTTTCCTTCCTTCCTTCCTTCCTTCCTTCCTTCCTTCCTTCCTTCCTTCCTTCCTTCCTTCCTTTCTTTCTTTCTTTCTTTCTTTCTTTCTTTTTCTTTCTTTTTCTTTTTTTGAGACAGAGTCTCGCTCTGTCCCCCAGGCTGGAGTGCAGTGGCGCTATCTGGGCTCGCTGCAAGCTCCGCCTCCCAGATTCACGCCATTCTCCTGCCTCTGCCTCTCGAGTAGCTGGGATTAAAGGCACCCGCCACCATGCTGGGCTGATTTTTTTGTATTTTTTCAGTAGAGACGGGGTTTCACCGTGTTAGCCAGGATGGTCTTGATCTCCTAACCTCGTGTTCCGCCCACCTTGGCCTCCCAAAGTGCTGGAATTACAGGCGTGAGCCACCGTGCCCAGCCCGTACCTTTGTTTCATTTGTATCTTCTGTCCAGTTACTCCACTACTCTGATGGTGCCAACTTTTTCCTATTTGCACCATTTACAATCCTGCCCAATTCGATAATACAACCGATAGTGTGGGGATCTTACACTTTACCCAGCTAACATCCCCTCTACCCTAGTATCTTTGTACCTTAAGGTTGCATGGCTATTGCTATTTATTCAGTTTAATTCTTCTTTAATTCTAGTTTTCTTACTATACTGACCACAGGTTCCTACTTATCAGCCTATTCAGATCCTCTGCCAAGTTATAGGACTGGACTTACACTGGGAGGTTCCCCTTCTTTGCTGCTTCATACTCTACACCAAATTATACTGCTTCATTGATGTTTCAGTATGACTTATCTTTGCCTAATTCACATCGCCAGCTTAAACAAGACTATCATGATGGTATGGCAATTCACCTGTTTTTCTTGTTCACATACCCTGTGCTGTTAAACAACTGTGCTAATGTTGTCAGGCTCCACTTCTTGGTTCTATTCCTGTCACATTCTCATTTACCTAACCATTAATGCTGGTGTGGGGCACCTTATTTTTCCTTTGTTTAAATCTCCTTCACAGTTAAACCACTATACCTATGGTTCAGAGCTACTCCTATTTGTCCTTTCACATCTCTTGCCCAATTAATCCACTGCATGGATAAAGCTAAGTTCTCTTCCTTGCCTTGTTCACATACCTGGCCCACTTATACCACTGCACTATTGTGGTGGGACTCTTTTGTTTGGCCTTGTTCACATACTCTGTCCAGTTTTACAACTGCACAGACTATGTGGGAATGCTCTTCTCCAATTCCATATTCTATCGATTTTTCACACTACACTGGTAGGATGGAGCTGCTGCTCTTTGCAAGTTTTTATCTTTTGCCCAGATACATCAATGTACTAATAGTCAAGAGTTCTTCTTTGCAGGGTTACCTCTGACAACATATACCCTTGTACTCATGATATGGCTTTTCTCATCTCTGTTCTTTTCACATAGCTTATCCACTTACACCACTACACTGATACCGTAGAGCTACCCTTTGTCTATTTATAGTCTCAGCCATGTTATGCCACTGTATTGATAGTTCAGGACTCTTTCTCCTTACTATTTTCACTTCCCCAGAACAATCAAACCACTGACTGTATGGTGTGGGACTCCTACTCTTTACAATGTTTCCCTTCTCTTCCAAGTTATATCATTTCTCTGATGAAGTTGGCATCACCCTTTTATCCCCAATGATGAACTTTGTCTATTCATTCCCCTGCACTAGTGCCAGGAGGCTCCTCCTCTTTTCTTGTTTACATCCCTTGGCCAGAGGATCATCTTTTTCCTAACATCCTCCGCCTGCTTCCTCCACTCACTGATGATATGAAGTTCTTCCTATTTCTCTGTTCACATATCCTGTCTAGTTCTATGACTGCACTGCACTCCTGCTTCACATGTTCATGTTCACATTCCCTGCCCTGTTCACTAGTGCACTGATAATGTCAAGTGCTCTCTCTTTGGTGAATATTGACTTACACCATTGCACTCATGGTGCAGCATTCTTATTTGTCCTGGTCACACACGCTGACCATTTATGCCACTGCACTGATGGTTCAGATCTCTTCCTGATTGTCCCTGTCACATCTCCTGTATAGTTACATTAGTGAACTAACGACGTAGGATCTGTCTATTTGCTTTTTCCACAGCCTCAGCACAGTTATTTCTTTTTCTCTTTGGCCACTCACTTTCTCTATCCAGTTTCTCTTCTGTACTTATGGTGTGGTGCTTCTCTTTTTTGCCGTGTCACACCCACTGTCCAGTTGCTCTAACACGCTAATGGTTTTAGGATCCTTCCCTTTGCAATTCACATTTCTAGTTGGTTTCTACTTCAGGGATGGTTTATGGTGCCTTCTTTTTGCCTCTTTCATATCTTTTGTTCACTTACAGCACTGCACTGATGATATGAGGCTGTTCTTCATTGTGGCATTCATATCTTCTCTAGAGTAATGATGGTGTGTATGGTGCTCCTATTTTTCTGTTCATAATCCCTTTTGACTTACAAACTGAACTGATTTCATGTTTCATTTTATTTGCCTTTTCACATTCTTTGTTCAGTGATATCATCGCACATTTTTGCCGTTTTGTTTGTTTTTTAAATTAGAATATAATCCACATATCATAAAATTCACCATTTTAAAACATACAATTCAGTGGAATTAAGGACATTCAGAATGTTGTACAACCATCACCACTATGTAGCTCTGTGACATTTTAAACACCACCCAAAAAACCCTGTGTCCATCAAGCAGTCACTACACCATTTCCCTTCCTCCCATTCTCTGAAAACCACTTTTTGTCTCTATAGGTTCGCTTATTCTGGACATTTCATGCAAATCAAATTATGCAGTATGTTACCTTTTATGTCTGCTTCTTTCGCTTAGCATGTCTTCAAGGTTCATTCTTTTCATTGCTTCTATCAATACTTCACTCTTTTTCTGGACTTATATTGTTTCACTGTGTGATTATGCCATATACATGGCAGAAAAATGCATGGGTGGATGGAGAATCCAGGCTAAGGGTGGACCCTGCAGAAGGTGCATGGGAAGAGGAAAAATGCAGCCAAGGGGAGGGCTTGTTTGGTCACCCATGGGAGAAGGGAGCATATAACAAAGGAGGAGAAACAGGTAGAAGGTGAGTGGGAGGAAGAAGCATCAACTAAGTGGGTGACCTTGCAGACAATACAAGGGTGGAGTGCAAAGCCAGTATAAGAAAATAATTGGCAGGAGGTACATGGGAGTAAGAAGCAGGAAATAAATGGATGGGGTTTTCAGCCAGCTTAAGGGACAACAAGGCATAAGGGGCATAAGTAGAGAGTACAACAAGTCTAGGAGACAATCAGGCAAGGTGTGCTTGGGTCGGGGAGAATCTAGTGTAAGAGAGTGATTGACGGGTGGTACATCGTTGAAGGATGGATCTATTCTAGTGGAAAAAAATAGCAAGGGGTACACGGCTACAGAGTGCAGCCAGCCTAGAAAATCCCTTGAAGAAGGTGTACTGATCAGGGTTTTAGCCAGTCCAGTGGTAAACAAAGTAGGAAGTTCATAGCTTCAAACTACAGCGATCCTAGAAGAGGAACAAGCAGGTAGTTTGTGTGTGGAGAAAGCCTTAGACTTAGAGTAGGATCAGCAGGAAATGTATGAGAGAAAGGAACATTCCTTCACAGGGTACACCTGGCTGGTGGTGCGTGGGTATAGGATGCATCCAGCCTAGGATTGTTCACAGTAGGCGCTATATATGGGTGAAGAGTGTAACTAGTCTAGAAGAGAACTTAGTAGGGGGTTCAGGCACAGAAGGCACATCCAGATTAAAGGAGGGCTCAGCAGAAAGTTCGTAAATACAGTGTGCAGTCATTGATTCTGGCAACAGTTTCATGGAGTTTGGGTGTGGCCAGCCTAGGAGCGGACTTGGCAAGATTTGTGTGAGAAGAAAAGGCATCAGTCTTAGAAGAAGTCCACCAGAATGTGCATAGCGGGAGAGAGCAGTCAGCCTATGTGAAACCTAGCAGATGGTGCATGTGGGCAGTGTGAAGCCAGACTAAGGAAAGACTCAACAAAAGGGGCATGAGAGGAGGGAGCATTAAGACAATGGGGAGCTCTTGAAAGAAGTGCCTGGATGCAGTAAGTGTCAGAACTAAGGGAGGATCTTGCAGGAGGTGCATGGTGCAGAATACAACCAGTGAAGGGAGGATACTTAGGAGATGCATGAGTAGAGGCCACAGCCGGCCTATTGGAAGATATGGCAGTGCATGTTTGGAGGATGTAACAAGCCTATGGGTGGATAGGGGTGTCCATAGATACAGGTTCAGGCAGCCCAAATAGGGATCTAGCAGTAAGTGCATAAGTGGACATTTCAGTCAGCCTAGAGGAGATCATTGCTGTATCTGCATGTTTGAAATTTTCAGCCATCCTAGAAGAGTATCAATAAGAACTGCATGGTTGGACAGATCATCCATTCAAGGGCAGGCCCAGGCAGAATGTTTATGGAAATAAGGGACATTAGGCTAGGAGAGGCTTGAACATGAAGTACACACGTGGAAGGGGCAGCTAGCCTAGAGAAAGTCCTTGCAGGGAGTGCATAGGTGGGGAACACATCAGACCCAGAAGATGATCAACTGAAGGTACATTGGAGGAAGAATCATTCAGCCAAATGAAGTCTTAGTCAGTGGGGCGTCAGACTGAAGCCAGACTATGTTAGGACATATTAAGACATTCACTGCTGATGTTGCTGGAAGTTCTTGGTTTAAATGGGCAACAAAGCAAGGGAAAGTCCGAGCAGGAGGTGAAAAGTTGGAGGGTACAACCAGCCTAGGGGAAGACCAGTAATACATTCACAGGTGGGGGTAGAATTCTGTCTAGGGGAAGAAGTACAGGAAATGTGTGTTTGGAGATTGCAGCTGGCTATGGGGAGATGAAGCATGAGGTGCAGGGAGCAACATCCCTAGGAGACAATCTGGAAGGAAGTTCATGGAAAGAAGAAGAATATATTGTAGGGGAGGATTTATCAAGTAGTACAGTGGTAGAAGATACATCCAGCCTAGGGGAGACCAATGAAGAAGGTGCATGGGTCTAGGTTGCAACCAGTCCAGGAGTGACCATAGTAAGAGGTGCATTGGTTCAGGGTACAGTCAGCCTACTGTACGAGCTGGCAGGTAGTTCATGGGAGGGAGTAGTCAGTCTACAGGAGGATTCAATAGGAGGTGCAAAGTTGAAGTAGAGCCACACTAGGGGAGGATATCATAGAATGAGCATATGTGGAGAGTGTATCCAACTTAGGGTAGTTCATGGTAGTCGTCCGGCTTGGGGGAGGACACAGGGAGTTAAGAGAGTTGCTTGTAGGGGGTGCACTAATTGGGTGTGCATTTAGCCTAGGGGCAGATGTAGTATTAAGCATATGGAAGCAGGGATCTACCAGCCTGGAGGACCCCATAGGACGTGCATGAGCGGAGGGTGCATCTAGCCTAGGGAAGGACTCAGTAGGAGGTATCTGGGTGGATGAAGTAGTCAGGCTAGGATAAGACCTAGTCAGAGATGCACAGGTAGGGAGAGCATCTATCCAATGGGCGAACACAGCATGGGTACTTTCAGGGAGGATGTAGTAAGCATAGGGGAGGATTCAAGAGGTAGTGCAAGGGTAAAAGGTACATACTGCTTAGGGGAGAATATGGCATGAGGTGTGTAGGTGGAGGGTGCCATCAACCAGGAAGAGGATCTGGCAGCAAACGATTGGATGGAAAAAAATCTAGCTAGGGGAGGCTCCAGCAGAAGATGCATTTGTAAAGTGTGCATTTAATCTCTGGGCAGATATAGTGGCTGATATATAAGGTACAGGATTCTACTAGCCTAAAGGAGGACTCGGCAGATAGTTCATGGATGGAGAAAACAGCCAGGCTAGGGAAGAATCTGGCAGTAAGTGAATGAGTGGAGGGAGTGTTCAGCCTAGCAGAGGATTTGGCAGAGGTGCATGGGTGAAGGAAGCAGCTACCACAAAAGAAGGTCCACCAGGGATTCAGTGCAAACGTGGAGGAAGCATTTAGCTTAGGGGAGGACAAGGCAGCCGGTATATACTTATAGTGTTCAGGAAGTGTAGATATACACTTGGGTAAGAGCTGCAGGAGTTCATGGTATGAGGCACAGGGATTGAGCGAGCTTGCAGCTTTAGAGGAGGAATCTGCAGAAGGCACATGAATAGAGGGGTCATGCAGACTAGAGCAAGACTCCGCATGTGCTGCCTAGTTGAAGGAAAGTTTGATAGAGAACCCAGCAGTCAAATCAGCTGTGGTGGTTCCAGCCAACCTAGGGGAGGACCTGGAAGGAAATGAATGTGTGGAGGATATATCCAGCTTATGGGAGGCCTCAGCAAGAGTTGTATGGGTAGAATTTTCAGTGAGCCTAGGGAATGATCCTGCAGAAGGTACATGAATGGAAGAAGAGTAGAGCATATGAAAGGACTCTGCAGGTTGTACATGGTTGGATAGTTCTTTTACCCTAAGAGAGAATATAGCTGAAGGTGGAGGGGTATAGCATGCAACCAACATAGAGAAAGCCCTGGCAGAAGGTGTATTTTTGAGAGTACAGCCACTGTAGGGGAGGACTTAGTAGGAAGTTCATGGCTGAGGAAAGCCCCAGGCCTATAATAAGATTAGTAGTGTATGCATGGCAGCAAAAAAGTATTCAACCAAAAGGCATACCTGGCCATTGTTTTGTGGGTGCAGGATGAATCCAGCCTAGGAGGAGGCATAGTAGATAGAGATGGATGCAGAGTGCAATCAGCCTGTGGGAGAACTAGGCAGAAAGTGCATGCATGAAGAGTACATTTATCTCAGGGGAGGACTTGGAAGGAAGTACATGGGTGAAGAGTGTGCCATTCTTAGATGAGGACCCAGTAAGAGGTGCATGGCGTGACTGTGAAGCCAGGCTGTAAAATAACAAAGAAGGACGTCCCTGGGTACAGGATGCAGCCAGCATAGGTGTGGGCATATTAGTTATAGTTGAGCTGAATGTGTTAGTGTGCAGCCAGCCTAGTGCAAGACTTGACAAGTATTTCATGAGTGAAAAATCATTATGCCTAGAAAAATAACAAACATCACATGAGAAGAGATGTATACAAGCCAATTAAGATCTGGAAGCTGATACGTGAGTACATAATAAAGCTAGCCTATGGGAGAACTCATCAGCAAGTGTATAGGTGGAGGGAGAATCTAGTTTAAGGGGAAAAAATCACAGGCGGTCCATGGGTACAGAATACAGCCAGACCATGGGAAGACCCACAAGAAATGCATGGGTAAAGGTGGCGTCCTGCCTATTGAAGGATATGATGCTGAATTCATAGTTGAAATGTTCAACAAGCCTGAGGAAGGGCATGGTAGGAGGTGTGTGAGTGCAGGGTACAAGCAAGATAAGTTTAGCCTAACTATGGGAGGACAAAACTGGATATGCATATATACAAGCTTCAGCCAGCTTAGGAGAGTGCCAGCAAGAAATGCATGGGTGGAGGGAGCATTCAGCTGGGGGAAGACTTGGCAGGAGGTATATGGGGACAATGAGCATCCCACCTATACACATCGTAGCAGGAAGTGCATGGGTGTAGAATGCAGCCACTTAGAAAAGGACCCTGCAAGAAATGCATGGGTAAAGAAAACAACAGACCTAAGGTAGAATAAATGAGATAAATGGGAAGAAGGAACTTTCAGCTAAATGGAGTCCTGGCCAGCAGAAAATGGTAGCAGGTTGTAGCCAGCCCATAGAGCATATATTATGATGTGCATTGATGCAGGGTGCAGCTAATCCTTCGTAGGACCTTACTAAAAATTCATAGCTGGATAGAGCAGCAAGACTAGAAGAAGTCTCAGAAGGTGGTGCAAAATCAGAGGGTACAGTCAACCTAAGGAAGGGTCTAGAAATATGTTCATTGGTGTAGTAAGAAAACTGCCTTGGGTAAGAGCTGCAGGAGTTGCATGGGTTGAGGTTGTTGCCAAAGTAAAGAAAGATGTGGCATGAGGTTCATGGATAGAGGGAAAAATCTAGACTATGAGAGTATTCATCAGGTGCATGGATGGAAATTGTACCCATCCTACAGGAGAATATGGCATGAGTTTCATGGTTGCAACTTTCACATAGTACAGGAGAGGATCAGCAGAAGTGCGCAGGTAGAGGGAATATCTAATATATGGGAGGATTCTGTGAGATGAGCATGGAATAAAGAATACGTACAATAGGTTAGGCTCTGGCATGAACTGCAAAAGTGAAGGGTTCTTCCAGCCTCGAGAAGGTCTCTTTCAGAATTCCGAGTGGAAAAATCATCAGGCCTAGAAGAGGATCAGAAATGGGAGCACGGGAGGAGGGAGGATTCAGCTTAGGTGAGATCTGATAGCTGTTGCATGAATACAAGGTGAAGTTACCCTAGGGAAGGACTAAGCAGCTATCACATGAGTGGAGGGATCTTCAACGGTATTGAAGGGCACAGTATAGATGCATGAACGGAGGGTGCAGCAAGCCAATAGGAGCATATGGTAGGAAGTGCAGAGTTTGAAGAAATATCCAATCTAGGGGAGAATACAGCAGGAAGTGCACAGTTGGATGTTGCTTTCAACTGAGGGGAGCATCTGGCAAGAAATGAGTGAAAGAGAATCAAGTCTTGGCAAGACTTGACAGGTTTTTCATGAATAGAAGGGACATCCTGCCAGGGATAGAAACGGAAGTTACAGGTGTGTAGAGTGCAGCCAACATGGAGAAAGGATAATGTAAAAAGAAAGCATCAGACCTATTAGAAAAGGCTCATGATGTGTATAGGAAGAGTGAGCATTCAGCCAAAAGGAGTCCTAGCAAGTGGAAAATGGAGGCAAGTTTTAGCCACCTGTTAGGAGGACATGTTAGAATGTAATTTGGTGTGGGAGAGAAACCAGGCTAGCGTTAGTACTTCCAGAAACTTCATAGATGGTGAGAAAAGCCAGACTAGAGAAAGTACTAACAGGAGACTCATAGATGGAGGTTACTTCCAGCCTAGAAGAGGACCTGATAGCACCTGCATTAGTTAAGGGGGTATCCTGCTTAGGAGAGGACTGGCAGGAGATGCATATGTGTGATGGTTGCCTCTAGCCTAAGGGAGAATATGGATGGAGGTACATGGCTCAAGGAAACATCCAGAATAGGGAAGGATTTGGCAGGTCAGTGGGTTAAGGGTGCAGTGAGCCCAGCAGAAAGTATACGGGTGGAGGGATAATTTAGTCTAGGCAGATGGTGCATGGATGAGGCTGTATCAAAACTAGGGGAGCAAATGTTAGGAGGTGCAGAGGTGCAAGGTGAAGCCAGCTTAGGGGAGTGCAGTCTACATATGGCCATAATATAAAGTGCAGAGATCCAGGGTTAAAGCAGGCTATGGGAGGAACCTGCTGGAAATTCATGTTTAGAGGGGATACTCAAGCTAGGAGGGGTCCAGAAGGATGTGCAAAGTTGGAGTATACGGTGAATAGAGGATCCAGAAATACATACATAGATAGAGGCAGAAACCTCCTTAAAATAAGTTCAGTGGAAGATGCATGGGTGAATGTTGCATCCAGCTCAAGGGAATATGGGGCATGAAGTACAAGGGTGAAAAAAGAATCTAGCATAGAGGATTCAGTAGATGGTGCATGGGAGGAGGGTGCATCCTTCCCAGGGTAGAATATGACAAGAAGTTTCATATATGCAACTTTCATCCAGTTTCTAATCAGCAGCACTGCATGGGTGGAGGGAATATTTGCCCTAGAGAAAGACTCAGCTGGGTACAGGAAAAGGGAGTATCTAGTCTATGGGTGACTCTGGCATGAACTGCATAGAAGGAGAGTGCAACCATCCCAAAGAAGAACCTTGCAAGAAGTAAATTTGAGGGAGAAACCATCAAGCCTAGAAGAGGACTGACAGGAGGTGCATAAAAATAGATTGAATTTAACAAAAGGAGATCTAGTATATGGCATATGTGTGTAAGGTGCAGCAAAGCTCTGGCAGGACCTAATAGGCATTGTATGGATGGAAAGAGCTGCCATCCTATGTGGGGTCTCAGAAAGAGCTGCAAAAGTGGAGGTTACATCCAACCTAGAGGAGGACCTAACAATATGTGTGTAGGTAGAGGTAATATCCTGCCTAGGGAAGGATCCACAAAACATAAGTGCATATTGGTTGAAGCCAGTCTCTGGGGCAATATGGCTGAAAGTGCATGAGTTTAGGGAGAATGTAGCATAGGGGATCTTGGCAGGAGGTGTATGTGTGTAATGAGCAGACAACCTAGATGTAATTTGAAAGAAGTGCATGTATAGAGAAATATCAAGCTTAGAAGAGGACTGGAAAAGTTTCATGGGCATAGGGGGCATTCAGCCAAGGAGAGGTTTAGCAGATTTCTAGGAAAAGGGAGCAGCTAGCCTCAGGGGGCACACAGTAGAAAGTTCATAAGTGGAGAGAGCAGCCAGCCTATGATAGGTCCCAGTAGAAGGTGGAAAAGTGGAGGTTACACCTAGTCTAGAAGAGGACCCCGCAACATATACATAAGTGGAAATAGTATCCTGCCTAGGGAAGAATCTGCAGGAGATGCATGGTTGGAGATTTCATGCTTCCTAACGGAGGATACAGCTGGAGATTCTTGGGTGTAAGGAGCATCCAGACTAGGGGAAGACTTGGCCAGATGTTCAAAACAAGGGTGAATGGAATTTAGGGGAAAATTTAGTAAGAAGTAAACTAGTGAAGAGAATATCTAGATGAGATAATTATTCGTCAGGTTGTGCATGATTGATGGTTGCATGCAGCCTAAGGAAGGATATGATAGAAGTTGCAGAACTACAGGGTACAGCCAGCCTACCAGAGGCCTCTGTAGGTGGTGCATTATTCAGTGGGGCAGTCAGGCTAGGTGTAGACATAGTAGGAGGTACATTGATGTGGGGTGCCATTAACTTAGGAAAGGATTCAACCAAAAGTGCAAGGGTAGAAGGAGCAGTCAAACTAACGGAAGACTATGCAGGAGATGTAAAGATGAGGGTAGAATCAGCTTATGGCAGGAAGTTCATGGGTGCAGGGAGCACCCAGTCTAGGTGAAGGCTCAGCAGGAGGTTCATGGGTAGAGCATGCAGCTAGTTAAAGGGAGAATCCAGAAGGAATTGCGTGGGTGTAGAGACAATCCAGACTAGGTCAGGTTCTGGAAAGTCTTGCATTGGTGGAAGGTGCATCTTGCCTAGGGAAGGAATGGCAGGAATTGCCCTTGTAGCCAGCCAACTGTAACTGGCCAAGTAGCCGGTTAATTCAGGTTATGTATAGGTGGAATATATGGCCAGTCTAAGAAAGAGCCAAATGTTTTGTACATAGCTTGGAGATAATACTGCACAGGAGAAATCATGCAGAAATGGTTCAGCAGAACTATAATACATGGAGGAGAAAGCACCCAGCTTAGGAAAGTCTCTGCAGGATAAGTATGGGGACAAGAAACACTGAACATAGGAAAGGCTCCAGTGTAACTTAAATGAACGGAGTGTGCAACCAATCTAGAGGCAGAGCCTGGAAGAAATGCATGGGTGGAGAAACTTCAGGCCTAGAACATGAATGACAGGAAATTCATAAGACAAGTAAGCATTCAGTCAAGATATACCTAGCAAAAGGTGCATGGGTGCAGGGAATAGCCAGGCTATGGGAGAACAAAATGCAAGATACATGGGTGCAGGGTGACAATGGCCTCATGTAGAAAATGACAGGATGTTCATTGATGGAGGAATCAAGCAGACTAAAGAAGTACTTGGCAGGAAGTGCATACATAAAGGTAGTAGCAGCCTACAGGAGTACTTGTCAGGAGGAGTATATGTGCAGTGTGCAGCCAGCCTAGGGGAGTTCATTATATGAGGGTTATGGGTTGAGGGAGCTTACAGCCATAGGGGAGGATCTGCAGAAAGAACACTCAGACTTATGGAGGATAAGCCATTGGTACATGGTTGGAAGGTGCTGCCAGTTTAGGTAAAATACAGGAGAAGTGCATGGGTACAGGGTGCAGAAGCCTGAATGAGTATTTGGCAGCAGATTCATGGCTGTATGATTCAGGTTACCTAGGGGAAAGCATGGCAAAATATGTATATTTTTAAATTTCAGCCATTCCAAAGGAGGATCAGCAAAAAGTGCATTGGTGGATGGAGCATCTAGCAAATGCGGGTACTCCTTAGGATGTGCATGGAATGTAGTAAGGAGCATGTAAACTATAGGAGGTCCCAGCAGAAAATGCATGCTGCAAGGTAGAGCCAACCCATAGAAGGACTGTGCAAGAAGAGCATGGGCAAGGACAGCATCAGGTCTGTTAGAGGTCAGGCAGAATGTGAAAAGGAAGAAGGAACTTTCAGCCAAAGGGAGTGTTATCAGGTTAAAAAAATGGTAATGTAGCCAGCTTCTAGATGTACATGTTACAATGCACATTGATGCAAGGTGCAACCAGGCTCTCAGGATTGTATGTGAAGTGCATGGATGGAGTGGGCATCCAGGCTAGGAGAGGTCTAAGAAAGAGGGGAAAAGATGAAGTGTATAGCCAGCTTAGGGGAGAACCCAGAAAGACATGCATACATGGAGGCAGAAACCTGCCTAGGGTGAGAACCATAAGAGATGCATGGCTAGGGGTTGAAGCTAGTCCAAAGAAGGCATGAGGTATATGTGTGTAGAGAGAATCTCGCGTAGAGAAAGAATTGGCAGATGGTACATGGGTGGAGACAGCATTCAGCCTAGGGAAAGGCTAGATAAGTTGAATATGGATGAAGCCGTATCTAGCCTAGGTGAAGCCTGAGCATGAATGCATGGGTGGAAGGTGTAGCCATCCTATAGAAGGACCTGCAATAAAACATGGGTGGAGCAATCATCAGGCCTAGGGGAGTATAGGAAAAAGATTAATGGGAGGAGAGAGCATTCAGCCAAGATGAGACCTGGCAAGAAGAACATGGATGCAGAGTGTAGGCTGCCACCTTAGGAGAGAACCCAACAGAAAGTAAATAAATGGAGAAGGGATCCAGCCTGTAGGTAGACGTTGCTAAAAAATACATGGGGGCCTAATGCAGCCAAGAAGTGCATGGGTGCGTAATGTAGGAGGAACACAAGAGATGCATGGATGGAGGCTCTAGTTGGTCTTGTGGAGAATAGGCAACTCTTGCATGTTTGGAGGTTGTGGCTAGCCTATGGGGGAGGTAATAGGTGGTGCATTTGTTCTGGGGGCAGCCAGACTTAGAGAGGCACAGACAGGATACGCATAGGTGAACCTGGCAGTAACATCCAGCATAAGGGAGAAAACAGCATGTGGTGTATGTATGTAGTCTGCTGCCAACATGCTGCAACTTTCCTCCCCATCAGAAGGAAGAATGGCTGACATCCCTATAACAAAAGCAAGTTAAGAAGAGAAAATGATAACAATTTATTCGATAATAGTTTTTCATGACATAAAAGCCTTCATAATGAAGACCCAAAGATACAGGGGGAGCTGTCCATTTTTATGCTTTGGTTTCAATGAATAATAGATAGCCATATAGAACTTCGACTGGGGTATGAGCTAATGCTAACAGATTGAGTGGGAAAACTCAGCAAGGACTGTGTGTTCAGATTCTTCCTGGCCACTCCTTGCAGCCTTCCTTCCTCTCAGGTATGGGGTAAGATCCTTTCTGGAATGAGGGTCTTATGACCTACAATTAGAGAGGTTGGTCAGAGAATTACTTTATAGCTATTTCTTACATAAAAAAGAAGGGGAAAGTTAGAGTAATATATTAGGCCTTATGGCTGCTTTGGAGGAAAAATGATTCTGCCTTGAGGAAGAGAAATTCTAGTTTCTATGGCTGGCCTCAGGAGAGAATGAGGGACAAGATACAGGACAGCAGGAGAAGGTCAGAGAGAAACTGTTACTTCTGAGGCCCATATTTTAGGTTGTCATTTTCTGAGCCCCAACAGGAAATACTGACAGAACTTGCATGGGTGGAGAAGTCATCCAGCCTAAAGCACCACATACAGGTGGTGAGTGGTTGGAAGAAACAACAAGCTTTAATATAGAGCCCAGCAGGTAGGTCTTATGTGAAGATTGCAGACAGTATAGAAAAGGATCAGCAGGAAATATATGCTTGAATGGCACAGCTATCCTAGGGGAGGACATAGCAGGAGGTTAATGAATGGATGTTGTAGACTTTCAAGGAAACAATATGGCAAGAGGTGCCAGAGGGTGGGGTGCAGTTAGCATAGGGGAATACATGATAGTTAAGTGCATGAATGTGTGCTATAACAAGTCTGGAGAGACAACACAGCAGGAAGTTTTATGGATAGATGGAATTTTCATTTAAGAGATGCTCAGCAGAGGGTACATGGGTGAAGGAAGCAATGAACCATAGAGGAAGAATCTGCAGGTGGTACATGTTTGGAGAGAATGAAGAGCTTAATAGAGTAACTGACAAACAAGATGTGTGGAAGTTGCAAACCAGTCTAGGGAAGTGGCCAGCAGGAAATAAACATATTAAAGACTTATCCAACCTAGAAGAGAATGCAGCAGAAGGTATATGGATGGTGGATACAGGTATGAGAGGGAGAACTTAGCAGGATGTGCAATATTTCAGAATGCAGCTAGGCTAGACAGTTAGCAGTAGATCCATGGGCAGAGTATAACTTTCATAGGGATAAAATGGCAGGAGATTCATGGGTTCACAATGAAGCCAACTAAGAGAAGAACTCTGCAAGAAGTGCATGAGTCAAGAGACCCTCAGGCCTAGAATAGGACCTGCAGAAGGTAGATGGAAAGAAGGTCTATCTGGCCAAGATGAAAAATTGACAAGTGACATATGAGTGCATGGGCCAACCATCTGAGGTCAGGATATTGCAGAAGATGCATGAGTGCAGATTGAGGTAGGCCTAACAATAGGTGCATGGGTGGAGAATGAAGCTAGCCTAGGAAGATAAGACAGAGGCTCGCCTGTAATCCCAGCACTTTGGGATGCCGAGGCGGGCGGATCACGAGGTCAGGAGATCAAGAATCCTGGCTAACACGGTGAAACCCCGTCTCTACTAAAAATACAAAAAATTAGCCAGGCGTGGTGGCAGGCGCCTGTAGTCCCAGCTACTCGGGAGGCTGAGGCAGGAGAATGGCATGAACCCGGGAGGCAGAGCTTGCAGTGAGCCGAGATTGCGCCACTGCACTCCAGCCTGGGCGACAGAGTGAGACTCCGTCTCAAAAAAAAAAAAAAAAAAAAAAAAAAAAAAAAGACAGAGGCTCATGAGAGAATTGTGCAACATGCTTAGGGGAAGAATCAGCAGGAAGTGTACAGGGGAAAGCATTCATCCTGGGTAGGAAAGGATATGGCAAGAGGAATGTGGATAACAGGGTGTAGATATCAAAGGTTAGGACATGGCTTAATGTGCATAAACAAGACATGGATAAAATAATGTGCAGACAGTCTGTGGGAATACACATCAGAAAACTTATTGTTGCAACTTAAAACCAGCCTAGGGGATGATATAATAGGACTTGCATTATTGCAGAGTGCTGCCAGTCTTTAGGAGCACCTGGAAGGAAGTGCAAAGTTTGAAGAATCAACCAGACTAGGGAAGGACTCAGCAGAGTGTGCAAAGGCAGAGGTAACATTCAAACTAGACAGGGACTCAGAAGTATGTGCTGAAGTAGAAGGGGTATTATTTCCAGGGAGAGATGCACTGGTGATACGTGTGTGGAGGTTGAAGCGCATTAAAGAAGGTTATGTTTGAAAGTGACTGGGTGTAAGGAGCCTCCAGACTAGGAGAAGGCTTGGCAGTATGTATGTGGATTGAAGTTGCAGCAAGCCTTGGGGAGGATCCTGCAGGGAGTGGATGTGTGAAAGGAACAGCCACCCTATTGTAGGACTGAGCAGGAGGTTCAATCATGAAGAAGTCTAAGGGAGGATCCTGCCTAGTGGAGGATACAGCAGAAAATACATGGTGAAGAGACCATCTAGCCTTGAAGATAATTTTGCAGAGGTGCGTAGGTGAGAGTTACATTTATATTAGATAAGACCCTGATGGGTGGTGCATAGGAGGAGGACCATTCATTCCAGAAGAAAACCCAGCAACTAGTGCATTTTTCAGGAGACAACCATCCTGAGAATTCATGGAAAATGCATCAGGCCTATAGGGTAAAGGAGAGTGTGCATATGGTAGAAGAAAGTATTGATCCAAGTTGAATCCTAGTAGATGGTGCATGGTAGGAGGTTTCTGCCTCCCTTCATGTGTGGATGGTGCATGGATGAACTGGTTCCTTCAGTCCATGGGGGGAATATTAGGATGTGCATTGGTGGAGGATGCAATCAGGCTCTGATGGGACCTGTCTTTAAGTGTTTTTTTTGTTTGTTTTATTTGTTTGTTTGTTGTTTTTCGAGAGAGCATCCAGGCTACAGGAGGTCTCAACAGGATGTGCAAAGCTGTAGTGTACATCCAATCTAAGGGAGAACCCAGCAATACGTTCATAGGTGGCAGTAGAATATTACCTAAGGGAAGAATAACAGGAAATGCATCAGTGGAAGTTTGAGGTAGAGAAAGGGAAGTTATGGCAAGAAGTGCATGGGTGGAGGGTACAGTGAACCTGGCAGATAATTTGACAGGAAGTACATGGCTTGGTAGGGATGCTACTGCGTGTGTGTGTGTGTGTGTGTGTGTGTGTGTGTGTGTGTGTGTGTATTGGGGAGGGCAGGGGCTCAACATACGATAAAAAGTTGAAAAGAAAAATAGTCATTCAAGAGGACAGTGTGGCAAGAATTACATGGTTAGAAGGAACATGCAACCTATGGAAGGATTGGCAAGGGGTTCATGGTTAAAAAAACATTCACAGCAGGGGAAGTCCTGGTTGGTGGTGCCTGGACACAGTGTGCAGCCAGCCTACAGATGGTTACAAGGAGCACATTGGTGGGGTGTACAGCTAGTCTAGGGGGATAGAAATGGGAGAAATTACATGAATTAATGGTCCTCAAAGCTCAGAGGAGGACCCATTAGGTAGTTCGTGGATATAGGTAATCCAACCTAGGGGATGATATGGCAGGAGAGATATGGTTGGAAGGTACAACCAGCCTAGCAGATGATAAAAATGAAATGTATGGAAGGAGAAAGCATCCAGCCCATGATGTCCCTAAAGGAAGTAGATGGGAGTAAGGAGTATCTAGCCTAAGTGAAGTTGTGGCAATAGGTATATGGTGGAGAGTGCAGCCAGTCTAGATAAGGACCAAGCAAGAAGTGCAGGTGGAGAAAGCCTTAGACCTAGAATTGGACTGGAAGAAGGTGAACATTGGGAAGGCATATTCAGTCAAAGAGGAGAACTGGCAGGTGGAGCATGGGTACAGGGTGCAACCATCCTTGGGGAGTTCGTTGGGAATGATGCATTGGTGCAAGGCATAGTGAGCCAAGGGAAAGACATAGTAGGAAGTGAATAAGTGGGAAGAATTGTCAGCCTAATAGAGAGCTTGGAGGAAGATTCGATGTTGGAAGGTACAGTCAGCTTACTGGAAGATTTAGCAGGAAGTTCACTGGCAGAAAGTTTAATAACCCTGGTGGAGGTTCACACAGGAGTTGCATGGAAGAGGATTCATCCATCCTAAGGGAAGACCAACTGGGATGTGCATAGGTGGAAACAGACCTAGAAGAGGACCAACAAGAAGTACATGGGAGGAGGGATCATTCAACCAAGATGAGTCAGAGCAGTTGGTATATGGGTGCAGATTGCTGGAAGCCTATGTGAGTACATATTAGGATGTGAGTTGGGGTAGGATTCAGCCAGGTAACATGATGACACAATTGAAAGTGCTTGGTTGTAGAACACAGCCAGGCTAGGGGAGAAAAGGTGGATTGTGCAACCAGGCTTGGGAGACACCCAGCAGTATATGTATAGCTGGAGGGACATCCTGCCCAGAGGAAAAACTACAAAACATACATGAGTGGAGGTTGCAGCCAGCCTGCGATGATATGACATGAAGTGCATTGGTGAAGGGAACATCCAGATTAATGGAGAACTTGGCGGGAGTTGCATGGGTAGAGCGTGTAGTGAGCCTAAGGGACAATCCATAAGGAAGTGTATGGACAGGAGGAAAATCTATCCTAGGGAAGCACTTGGCAGATAATTCATAATAGAAGATGCATCCAGCCTAGGGGAGAACATTGCAGGAGGTGCAGAGTTACACAGTACAAGTAGTATAGGGGAACTTCAGACAAAGTGCATTAGAGAAGATCCAGTTAGCTTAGGGTTGGATGTAATAGTGGGTGCATGGAATCAAGGTGCAGCTAGCCTAGGGAAGGACATAACAGAATGTGCCTTCATGCAATATGCAGCCAGTCTTGGGAAGAACCTGACAAGAAATAAAAGGGTGGAGAGACCAGGCAGCCTAGGATAGGTTTTTGGAGAAGGTGCAAAGTTGAAGGTTACCTTCAATTTATAGGAGGACTCAGTAGTACGTGCATAATTGAAAGGAATATCTTTCCTAAGGGAGGACTTGTAGGAAATTAATGCATGATATTTGCAGCAACACTAAGGGAGGATATGGCTGAAGGTTCCTGGGTGGAGAGAGCTTCCAGATGAAGGAAGAACTTGACAGGAGGTAGGAAGGATGAGGGTGCAGTGAGCCTAGGAGAAGGTCCATCAAATAGTAAAATAGTAATTGTATGGAAGAAGCAGCTAACCAAGGGAAGGAATCAGTAGAGGTTGCATGGGTGAATGAAGGGACATGCAGAATAAGGGAGGATTTAGCAGAGGTGCATACGTTTTGGAAGCAAACAACTTAGAGGATAGTGCCTGGGTGGAGAGTGCATCAAACTGAGGGTAGTGCCTGGGTGGAGGGTGCATCAGGCTTAGGGGAGGTCTCAATAGGGTGTGTATGTTTATAATGTGCTGTCAGAATAGGGAAGTTCATGGTAGGAGAGTCGTGGGCTGAGGGAGCTTCCAGTCTTAGGGAAGGTATCAGCAGAAGGTTCGTGGCAGAAGGCAAAAACCAACTTAAACCAGCATTAAGGTCCTCAATGGAAGTTGCAAGCAGCCTGGGGGAGGATCTGGGAAGAAGTAAATGCCTAGAAGGCATACTCATCCTGGAGGACTCAGCAGGTGATACTTGGGTGCAGATGCATCCATATAAAGGGAGTACATGCCAAGAAGTACATGAGTGCAGAGTGCTGTCAGCCTAGGGAATAACCTGACAGAAGACGAATGGGTAAAGAATGCGACCACCCTAAGGGGTACATGAAAAGAGGTTCATGAGTGCATTGGAATAACAAGAACATGAGTGGACACATCAGGAAGCACATGGGTCAGCTCAGAATGTAGTACATGAGTAGACAGCATCCAACCTAGTGGCAAATATGACAGGAAGTTCAGGGGTGAGAGTTTATTCGACCTAAGTGAAGATACAGTAAGAGAGAGATGCATCAAAGATAATTTAGTCTGTCTAGGTGAAGGAATGACAGATGATACAAGGTTTCAAAGTGTAGCTAGCCTAGAAGAGTATTGAAAGGAAGTGCATGAAATAGGCGGAAGAACCAGTCTATGTGAAGATTTGGCAGGGAATATATACCCTTGGGGAGTCCTAGCAGGTGACCATGGGTTCAGGTTGAAGACAACCTAAGAGAGGACTCAGCAATAAGTTCATGGCGGAGGGAGAAGAGAGTCAAGGGAAGATTCATTCAGAAAGTCCATGGGGTGGAGGCTGAACCAAGTTTAGGAGAGGACTCAGAGATAGTGCCTCAGCCATCTGCACTCAGATGTGTACTTAGTCAAAGCTAGTACATGGCAGAGTTGCAAGGATTCAGGCTGCAGCCAGCCTAGGAGAGGACACAGCAAGGTCTTTTGGGAGCAGAAGGTCTTAGGACTAAAATATGATCAGTATGGGGTGCATGAGAGAAGGGAGAATTCAGCCAAACGGAAGCACTGGCAGCTAATGCATGGGAACACATAGTAGATGGAGCACTGCTGCAGGGTTTAGAGAGCCCATGTGTGAACCTGGTATCAAGTAAATAGGTGGAAGGAGCATCCAGCCTAGAGTAGTACTCAGCAGAAACAAAGGTGGAGGGTACAGCCAGTATGGAGTGCATCTGTCAGGAGTGCATCTGTTGTGACTGAAGCCACCCTTGTGGAGATCACAGCAGGAATTCCATAGAAACTGATACCATCCAACCTAAGGCAGGCCCCAGCAGGAGTTGCATGGGCATAGGTTGTAGCCAGCCTAGGAGAGTATACAGCAAGATGTGCTTGGGTGAAAACAGCTTCATCCCTAGAGTAAGTTCACCAGGAAGTGCATGGGTGGAGGGAGTTTCTACTTTAAGGGAGGATTTTAGCAGGAAGAACTTGAGTAAAGGAAGGAACTATGCTTAAAAAATGCTGTCAAGAAGTGCATGGGTGGAGGGAGCATTCAGCCTAGGGGAGGACTTAGAAGGAGGTGTATTTGTGTATTTTGCAGCTAGCTATCTAGACATCATATTATGAGTAATGTAGGCTGAGATAGCTTCCAGCCTTACTGGAGGTATCTTTCAAAGGTGCATGTGTGGAAGGACATGCCTAAAGCATGACTGTATTTTATATGTTGTTGGAGTAAACAATCAGCTAATAGTGTATGCAGCAACAGGAAGATTGTGTGTGGAGGCTACAGTGATCCTGGAGGAGGAACTGGCAGGAGGTGAGTGGGAGAAAAAAAGCACTCAGCTTTGAGGAGAACTTGAAAGAATGAACATGGGTGGATAGTACAGCCACCCTGGGGAGATCTCAACAGGTTATGTGTTGAGATAGGTGTGGGTGGAGAATGCAGCTAGCCTATGGTAAGAGTCTAGAAATTTTGCATTAGTTGAGGCTGCAAACATTCTTGCAGAGGACATGACTGGATGTACATGGGTACAGATTGGTTGACACCTCGATTCAGTCATGACATGAGTTGCATGAGGGGAGGGAAAAGTCAGCCTATGGAGGACTGTGTAGCAGGTGTATGGTGGAGGAGATTCTAACGGAAGTAGGAATTGGAAGGAGTGAAGTACTCAAGCATACTGTTGACCTAGGATATGATTAGGCATGACATGCCTGGGTGGGTGATATGGTTTGGCTGTGTCCCCACCCAAACTGTAATCCCCACATGTCAGGGGAGGGGCCTGGTGAATCCTAATTGGATCATGGGGGTGGACTTCCCTCTTGCCGTTCTCATGATAGTGAGTGAGTTCTCACAGGATCTGGTTGTTTGGGAGTGTAGTGCTTCCCCCTCCCCTCTCTCTACTGCTCTGCCATTGCGAAGATGTGCATGCCTCTCCTTCGCCTTCCGCCACGATTGTAAGTTTCCTAAGGCCTCCCATTCATGCTTCCTGTTAGGCCTACAGAACTGTGAGTCAATTAAACCTCTTTTCTTCATAAATTATCCAGTCTCAGGTAGTTCTTTATAGCAGTGTGAAAACAGACTAATACAGTAGGGAATTCTGCAACCCAAGAAATACATTTATCAAGGAGTGAATATGTAGAGGGAACAGGCAGGCTATAGGTGGTGTTAGTAGAACATGCATGGGTGAAGTGATCGTCTAGTCTAGGGAAGGATTAACCTGAAGGTGCATGAATAGAGGGTGCAGAAGGCCTAGAGAATGTCTTAGTAGAAGAAAAATGGCATCCAGTTCTAAGAGGATGCAGGAGGTTGTTCATAGGTAGAGGTTGCAGCCAGTATAGGGTTGGACAAAACAGGAAGTGAATGATTCAGGGGAGTATGCATTCAACAATAGATCCGGCCGTCAGTGCATGGATGGATATTCAGCCAATATAGGGCTGAATATGTCAGGTGATGCCTTTGTGTAGGGAGCACCTAGCTTAGGGGTTGACTCTTCAGCAAGTGTATGACTGGAGGATGCAGTCAACCAAGGGGAGGAACAAGCTGGATGTACATAAATGGCAGCTTAAGCCAGCTTTGGAAACTATCCAACAGTAAATGCATGAGCAGAAGTTGCCAAAAACTTAGGATAGTACTCTTTGAGAGGTGGATTGGTTAAGGTTGCAGCCAGCCAAAAGAAGAAGATGACAGGAAGTGAAACTTAGGAGGGAGCATCCAATCTCTGTGAAGACTTGGCAGTAAATGCATCAGAGGAGGGGGCATGCAGTCTAGTAGAGGTCATGGATAGAGGTGCGGAAGTGGAGGGATCATCTGGCCCAGGGAAGGATTTGATGGGAGTTGTACGGGTGGAGGGAGAATCCAGGCTAAGGAAGGATTTCTACAACATGCATCATTAGAGGAAGTGACAAATTTATGGCAAGATATGGCAAGAGGTGAGGATCTGGAGGGCAAATGCAACCAAAGGAAATACATGATGGTAAGTGTAACAGTGGAGGAAGCATCTAGACTATCTGAGGGCATGACAGAAGGTGAGTCAGAGGAATGAGAATTCAGTCTAGAGAGTCTCAGCAAGAGATTAATGGAAGAAGAGAGTATACAGCCTAAGGAAAGACTCAGTAGGAAGCGCATGAGAGAGGGTTATGCAGCTTGGGGGAGGACTCTGCATGAAGTCTATGGGTAGAGGTTCTAGCAAGCTTAAGAGAAGGCATGCGAGAAAGTGGATGGGTGAAGTGTACATCTAGCACATAGGAGGCCACGGAGGTGGTACATGGATGGACGATTCAGCCAGCCCAGGGAAGACACATCAAAAAGTGCATGGGTAAACGGAGTGACCATTCTAAGGGTAGAATCATCAGGAGATTATGAATGTAGGCCTCAGTCTGCCTAGACAATTACCTGATAGGCAGTGCCTGGGTGGAAGAAGCATCCATCTTGGGGAATATCTGATATAACATAAATGAGTAGAAAATGTAACCAAAAGATGGGAAGATTCAGCAGGAAATATGTGTGTGGAGGTGGGGGTAGGAGAAATCAGATTGAAGGAATATTGGAAGGTGTGTTAGTGGAGGGTGCATCCAGCCTAGGGTTAGACTGAGCCAAAGTTGTATGGGTGTGGGGGTCATTCTTCCAATGAGACAACAGGGCAAGAACTATATGAGTGAAATGTGTGGGCAGATCATGAAGTTTATGAGAAGAATGTGCAGAAAAACTAGAGGAAATCTTGGCAAGGAAAGCATGGGAATAGTGTTCATCCAGCATAGGGTAATACTTGGCAGTACTTCCACGGGTGGAGGAAGCATCTAGCTTAGGTGAGACTCAGGAAGAACTGCATGAGTGGAGTGAGAAGGCAGCCTGAGGGAGCACTCTGCATGGTCAGAAGGAGCAGCCAAACATGGAAGGACTCAGAATGGGGTCTACAGATGGAGTGTGCTTTCAATCTAGGTTGAGATACAGTAAAATATGCATGGCAAGAAAGTGCAGCCACCCTAAGAGAACGCTGCACAGGAGTTAAATATGTGAAGTGACCAGCTAGCCTTGGTATAGTCTTGGCAGGACACACATGGGTGTAGTGAGCATAACATAAAGCCTAAAGGAGGGCTCAGCAAGAGGTGCATGGATGGAGGATACAGCCAGTCTAGAGCACAAACCAACAGGAGATGCATGGGAGGAGGGAGCATTTAATTTAGGGTAGAACATGGGAGGAGGTGCCTGTGTGGATATTACAAGCATTCTAGGGAAGGATTGGAAATGAAGTCCATGGTTGAAGGGAGCATTTATCCAAGCATAGACTTGGTAATTGATGCAAGTGGGGAGGGAGCATCCAGCCTGGTGGTGTATCTTGAAGAATATGCATTAGTGGAGGGTGTAGTCAGTGTAGGAATGGTTAGCCAGGAAGTGCATGGATATATGGTATGGCTAACCGGAGAGGACTAAGTCAGAAGTTTATGTGTGCAGGAAGAGTTCAAACTGGGAAGGAGTATCCATCTCCCAGTAGGATTCTTCAGGAGGTGCATCTGATGAGAAGGTAATATCCAGTCTGTGCTGAGAGATACAAGAAAGAAGGGTACACATAGCCTGTAGTAAGGTTCAGCAGGAGTTGCATGGTTGGAGAGTTTAGCCAGCATAGAGAAAGACTGGCAGCATATGGAAAGACTGGTGAATGGTGCAGCCATCCAAGGGCAGGATATGTCAGGAAATGCCTGAGTGGAAAGTCCAGAAAGTTTGAGGAAGAATCCAGCAGAGCGTGAGTGAAGAGGGCATCCATTGTTGTGAAATTCTCTTCCAAAGGTTCATTAATATATGGTGCAAGCAGCCTAGGGCAGGGCCTAGCAGAATGCACAAGAGAAAATGGAGTAGCTAGTCTAAAGTTGAACTTATCAGAAGGTGTGTGGGTTTAGGGTGGAGCAGCTTAAAAAGGATGTGGCAGGAAGTGCATGACTGAAGCACAGCAAGCCTAGGGGAAGATCTGGCAGTTGGTACATGAGTGGAGAGATTATCCATCCTAGAGGAAGACCCAATAGAAGATCCATGATTGAAGGATGCAGACAACCAAAGCAAAGGATGGTGGGAAATGCGTGAATGGAGTATACATCTTGCCTAAGGGAGGATATTGCAATAAGTGCAGAGGTGTAGGCAGCACCTGGGTTGGGGTGTAACAATTGAGGCTGCAGCAAATACTTAAAGTCTCTCCATACCTCTTCGCTAAGAAACTTAAAAAAAAAAAAAACTCTAGGATTATTTCTAGCAGCTTAACACCATGTCCCTAAGATGACCTCAGCTCCCCTGCCCATGAAATGCCTGCCTGAGAAAGCTTGATGTTACCAGGAGAATTTACTGTTTATTCCAACCAAAACCTGGTAATAGACAGATAGGCCCTCAAACCCCCGTTAGAGCAATTACTTTAGAAGGCTTGAGATTGTAAATCCTTTCTCTGTCCTTTGAGTGGTTAATCTGCTACTCTAAACTGTTTCCTCAAAGATCTGAAAGCTCTTTCTTTGAAATCCAAACATATAGGGTGATAACTCCAGCTCTTTCTCTGAGTCTCAGCGGGAGATTAAGGACCTAACTTACGTGAGCACCTTGCTTCGACTTGCACCACTGCCTTCTGTTATATAGTAAAAGAAGTTTGTTTCATAAAGTTCATGAGCAGAGGTTTCATCAAGACAAGGGGACATGGCAGGTAGTGCATATTTGGGTGCATTATATAGACTAGATCAGGTCTCCTGAGAAGCAGTGTTAGCAGAGTGTTCAGGCAGCATAGCAGAGAACATGGCAGATAATTCATGGGTGCAGGATACGTGTTGTTTAGTGGAGTACCCTGCAAGTAGTTTATGTATAGAGATTAAAGCCATTCTAGGGTGGGATATTGCAATTGGTGCATTGATGGATAGCACTGCCAACCTAGGAGAGAAACCAGCAGAAAGTGCATGGGAGGGGATGAAATTAACTTAGAATAGTTAGTACATAGTAGCAGGTGCCTGGTTATGAGATGCAAGTGGCCTTGGATAATTCTGGCAAGAAGTCCATGGGTGGAGGGGAATAAGCAAAATAAGGCAGGAGATGCATGCGAGGGGGTAGCATTCAGCTTAGAACATACTTAGGCAGGTGGTATATAGTTGTATATAGGCAGGTGGTATATGGTTGCAGCATTCAGCTGAACTACAGGGGTGGGGTAGGGGAGAGCAAACATTGCATAGGTAGAGAAAACCAGTCCTAGAAGAGGTAAAGCAGGAGTTGGATGGGAAAAGAGAGCATATATTTTACAAGAGACTTGGCAAGTGATGCACAGGTGCAGGGTGAAGCTAGCCTAGGGAAGCATATATTAGAAGATTAATTGGTTCAAGTTGCAGCCAGACATGGAGAGCACCGAGTAGAATGTGCATGGATGGAGGGACCAATAAGCCTATTGAGTTCGCAGCAGGAGGTGCAAAGTTAGATAGTATAACCAGCTTAGTAGAGGTTCTGTCAGAAAGTGTATAGGTGGAGGGAGCATTTTTCCTAAAAGAAGATATGGCAGGGGGTTCATAATACATTCAACCTAGGGGAAGACTTGCCCAGAGAAGCATAGGTTGATCCTGCAGCCAGCTTAAAGGAGGATATGGCAAGAGTTGTAAAGGTAAATTGTGTTTCATACCTAGGGAAGGACACAAAAGTGGCTGCATTGTTGCAGAGTGCAGCTTATACAGGAATCCAGTTAATTAGGCAGTGCATGGATAGAGAAACTGTCTAGCCTAGGGCAGGACCTGGCATGCTACATGGAGAAGGTAGCATTCAACCTAAACAAAGCCAAGCAGGTGGTGCATATGTGTAGGGTGCAACCTAAGAGAGGACACAACAGGAAGTACACAGGGAGACATAAAATCAGGCCTAGAAGTGTGCTGCCAGGAGTTGTATGGGAGAAGTAAACTTTCCACCTAGTGGAATACTGGAAGGGGGTGCATAGGTACAGAGTGCAGCCAGTCTAGTGGTGAATTGAATGAGGTTGCAGCCATTCTAGGGACAGACATTAGAGTGGGTATGTTGTAAGCTGCAGTCAGACTAGATGATGACCTGACAGAAAGAGTGTGGGTGGATGCAGCCTCCAGCCTAGGGGAGACTCATCAGGAATTACATGCAAGGAGGGAACATTCAAACCAGAGTAGATATGGCTGGTGTTGCATGGATGCAGAGTACAGGCAGCCTGTATGAGAGGATATACTAAGAGGCACTCCTGTGTAGGGTACAGCCAGTCTCAGGTAAGATGTGTCAGGAAATGTATGGATGACAGGAGTAACCATGTAGAGGGTATCACAACAGGAGGTGCAGAGGTGAAGGATACAGCCAAATTAGAGGAAGACCCAATAAGAAGTGCACAAGTGGAGGAAGCATCAAGTCTAGGGGAGGACACGTTACATGGCTCATGGTTGAGGAAGTTTCCAGTCTAAGTCGAAACATCTGCAGGTCATATATGTGTGGTGGAAAGATCCAACCTTGGGCAGTGCCCTGTATTTGGTCCATGAGTGGAGGGAACATCTAGCTTAGCAGAGTACCTAGCATGCAGTCAGTGCATGTGTGGAGGTTTAAGCAAATTTGGGAGAGGAAGCAGAAGGAAGTGCATGTATATAGGGAGCACGCTGCCTGAGGGCAGATGGCAGAAAGTATATTTTGAAATGAATATTCAGCCTAGAGTAAGCATAGCAGATGATGTGTGGGTGCAGGATGCAGTCACATTATCAGAGGACATATTTGGAGGTGTTTTGGTGCAAGGTATAGCCTCAGGGAGGAATTGCAAAAATGCATGTGCATATGGAGAAGATAGAAAAAGGGAAGTCTCTTAGTATGTGCAAAAACAGGACACAGTCAGGCTAGAGAATGACCAGGCAGGAGGTGTATAAGTGAAAGGAGATCAAGCCTAGGAAGGACATGGTAGGAGGGGAATGGGTTCAATGAACTAGGTTAGAGACCTATATGCATACAGGTCATCCAGTCAGTGGCTGGTCCCAGTAGTTAGTTCATGGGTGGAGGTAACACCTAGCTTATTGGAATATAAGACAGGCAGTTCATGTGTGGAAGTTACAACTATTCTAGAGCAGGACTTGGGAGAAATTGTATGTGTAGAAGGAGTATCCTGCCTAAGGGAGAACTCATCAGGAAATGTATAGACAGAGGCTGTTGTCAGACTAGTGGAGGATAGGTAGGAGGTGCATTGGTGAAAGATGCAACTAACCTATGGGTGGACATAGGAAAGAGGTGCATGG
This sequence comes from Homo sapiens, assembly GCF_000001405.40. Lineage (NCBI taxonomy): Eukaryota > Metazoa > Chordata > Mammalia > Primates > Hominidae > Homo > Homo sapiens. Next base: position 36,757,408 of record NC_000023.11, on the reverse strand, counting down.
GTGGAAGGTGCTGCCAGACATGAAAAATATGTCACCAGATTCATCACTGCAAAGCGGAGTCAGCCTAGAAGATTGCAAAAATAGTTGCATGGGTGGAGACAGCATCCAGCCTAGTGCAGAATGTGGCAGAAGATGCATGCAAGGAGGAAACATTAATCCCAGAGTAGATGTATCACGTGTTACGTGGCTCCAGAGTGCATCGCAAATAATGGAGGATGGTGTTGGAGGTGCATAGGTGAAGAATGCAGGGCCAGGCAGCTGTTGAGAATACATCCAGCATAGTCGAGTAATTATCATGCAGTACCTGTGTGTATGTTTCTGCCAACCAAAGGTAGAAACCAACAGGATCTGCATGGATGAAGCTAGAATCCTTCCTAAAAGAGGTTTCTAAAGTAGGAATGTGTAAGGAGGGAGAAACAAGACTGGAGAAAGGTTCAGGGAGATTTGCATGAGAAGAGATTGCAGCCTTCCTAGTGGAAAACTTGGAGGGCATGCATGGTTGGAAGGAGCATTGATCCTAAATTAGGACCCTTCAGGAGGGTTCATGCTGGGTAGGAGAGGACCTGAAATGAATTGCATCGGTGGAGGAACTACATGGGCATGAAAATGCATCCAGCCTAGGACAGGACCCAGGAGTAATTTCAGGGGAGATTACACCCAGGACAGTAGAAGATTTGGCAAGATTCGGCAAGGGTGCATGGTAAAACAAACATGTAGCTTAGGTAAGGACAAGGCACTAGGTTTGTAGTTGGAAGGATCATCCAGTATAAGGGATGAAAAGGCAAGAAATGTACCATGAAGTGTGCAGGCAGCCTATGAGAGTGCTTGGCATGAGGTCCATTGGTGGAGGGATCCTCCAGCCTATGGGTAGATCTAGCACATGGTGCATAGTTGGAAGTTACACGAAGCACAGGGTGCGGCCCAGCAGGAAATGCATCAGTGGAGGATGTAGTCAGCCTAGGGAAGAACTTGGCAAGAGGTATAGGACTGGAAGGTACAGACAAGATAGTAGAAACCTCAACCAGAAATGCATCAGTGGTGGATGCAGTCAACTGCACAACTGGAGGTTCAAGGGTGGAGATAGTATCTATTCTAGGGGTGTATGTTTTAATTGCAGGACTCCATAGGTACAGGGAGCTTCTAGCTGAGGGAAGGACACCACATACATAGGTCAAGGGTGTCAACTTAGGAGAAGTCATTGCTTGAGGTACATGATTGGAAGAAGTATTCAGGCTTGGAGAGGATCATTGTGTCAATTCATGATTGGATAGAACAGCCATCCTATAGAAAGGCTTGGTAAGGAGTGCATGAGTAGAGGGTACATTCAGGATGAAGATAATGGGGGCTGGGGCCTTCTACACGATCTTTGAGTAGACAAAGCATCTTTCCTTAATTTGACCTTATTAAGGAGTAAATAGATTGAAGTCATGGCATATCTAGGATAGGATCTGACAGAAAGTGCATGGGTGAAAGCTGGAGCCAACTTAGGGAAGAATTTGGCAGGTGACTCATGGGTTAAGGTCAGAGATAACTGGGAGAGGTGCATGGGTCACAAATGCATCCAGCATAAAGGAGTAGCAGGAGAAGCATGAGTGAGGACAACATCCAGCTTAGGGTATGACCTGGCATAAAGTTCCTGGGTGGAATGTGCAGGGATAACTCAGAAGGAAATGCAAGTGATGGGAGATCATCCAGTGTATTGGAGGACATGATAGAAAAATGTATGGGTGAATGGTGCATCCAGGCTAGGAGGAAGACCTGCGAGGAAATGCATTAGTGGAAACAGCATACAGACTAAGGAGAAAAGTTGTGGTAGTGCATGGCTATCCAGCATAGTGGATAATTTGGCAGTAGGTGTATTGCTCATGGGTATTGCTAGTGTCGAAGAGGACAGGAGACAAGACTAGAGAGAACACTCAGCCTAAATGTTGATCCTCAGAAGATTCATGAGTTAAGATTGAAGCCAGCCTGAGGCAGGCAGGGGAGGGGCAGGAAGTGAATTAGTGGAGTGTGGAGCTGGCTTACAGGAGTTGGCAGCAAGAGGTGCATGGGAGGAATGATGCAGCTGAACTAGGGAAAGAGGACAGGCACAGTGGTTCATGCCTGTAATCCCAGCACTTTGGGAGGCCAAGGCAGGCAGATTGCTTTAGCCCAGGAGTTTGAGACCAGCCTGGGCAACATGGTAAAACCCTGTCTCTACAAAATAAAAATTAGCTGGGCATGGTGGCACACACCTGTAGTCCCAGCTACTTGGGAGGCTGAAGTGGAAGGATCGCTTGAGCCCAGGAGTTTGAGGCTGCAGTGAGCTGAGATCGTGCCACTGCACTCCAGCCTGGGTGACAAAGTGGGACCCTGTAGATAGATAGATAGGTAGATAGATAGATAGATAGATAGATAAAACTAAGGGAAGAATTAAGATGGGATGCATTGTAGGATAGAGCATCTAGCCAAGATGAGGACTCTGCAAGAGGTGCATGGATACAGGAAGCAGCAACCTTTGAGGAGAGATTCTACTGGAAGTGTATAGATGGAAGTGAGAAATTGTGAAGATGTGAAAGGAGGTACCTGTTTGAAAGTGCAGTCGGTATAGAGGAAGAACTTGCAGGAGTTGCATGAGTCAAGTATGCAGTCAAGCTAGGGCTGCACATATTAGGAGATGCTTGGGTACAGTGTGCAGTCAGGCTAGGAGAAGACATGGAGAAAGTGCATAGTTGGGGGAGCATCCAGCCAACAGGTAGGTAGACTCTGCAGTTAGTGCATGGGTGCATAAAGCTGTCAACATTGGGAGAAAAATCTTGCAGTAAGTGCATGGGTGGATGAGGTATGCATCTAGCCCATGGGAAGCTGTGGCTAAAGGAGGATAATAAGGATGTTGTAGACGGGTTAGGTCAGGGCACAACAGGACCATGTGTGGTATGAGCATCTAGCAAAGGGGAAGACCTGAGGGCCATGCATGAGTGGAGGGTTCATACATGCTAAGATACATCAATGTAGGACGTACATAGGTGGAGAGAGCATCCTGAATAGGGTAGAATATGACAGGAGGTGTGTGGGTGAAAATGGAAGCAGCTCATGAAAGAACGTGCTGTAGAAGCATGGCTTTAAGTTTCAGCTATCCTAAGGGAGAATGTGGTCAGAGTTTAGTGGAAGGAGCATTCAGTTTAAGGAGAGTCTTGAGAGGCATGATTGATTTGTGCAGTGAGCCTAGGGGAGGATCCTGCAGGCCATGCATCACTGGAAGGAGAATGAAGACCAGGGTGGACTCTGCAGGTGATGCATGGAAGGATGTTGCATCCAGCCTAATGTAAGACATGGGAGGAATGCAGGGTTGCAGTATGCAGTCACTGTGGAAGATCTTGTAGGAAGTGCAAGGTCTAGAATGCAGCCATCCTAGGGCTGACATAGGAGGAGGTGCATATATGTGGGATTCAGTCAGCCTTTTAGAAGACCTGGATGCAGTACATGATTGGAGGGAGCATTCAGCTAAGGGGAGAAGACTGTGAGAGCTGCATGGATGCAGAAAGCAGTCACCCTCTGGGGACAATCCAGCAGGAAGTATATACGCGGAGTCAGCATCCCACATAAGGGAGAACTTGGCAGGAGATGTATCAGTGGAGGGTGTGCCACCATATGGGAGGACATATCAGCAGAGGCAGGGCTGGAGGGATTTCCATCCTAATGCAAATAACCTGCAGGAAGTGTATAAGTGTAGGAAGCATCCATTCTAAAGCTGGACCAGGTAGTTTCAGCCAGCCTTAGGAAGAATCAGGAGGAAGTGCATGGGTGGTGGGAGCATCCATTATAAGAAAATAATAGGGGCCAGGCACGGTGGCTCACCCTGTAATCCCAGCATTTTTGGAGGCTGCAGTGGTAGGATTGCTCAAGCTTAGGAGTTCAAGACCAGCCTGGGCAACATGTTGAAATCCCATCTCTGGAAAAATAAAAATAAAAATAGCTGAGCATGGTGGCACCCACCTGTAGTCCCAGCTACTGGAGAGGCTGAGGTGAGAGGATTGCTTGAGTCTGTGAGATGGGAGGATTGCTTAAGTCTGGGAGACTCAAGGAAGGCAGAGTAGAAGATGGATTATTAGAGGGTACAGACAGCCTAGGGATGGACTTGACAAGATGTGTATGTCTAAAGGGAGCGTTAGTCTATGGGGAACACGGGAAGATCTGTATTAGTGGAAGGCACAGGAAGACTACAAAAGTAGGAAAAAGTAGGAAAAGTAGAAAAAAAGTAGGAAAAGTAGAAAAAACTAGGAAAAGATCTCCATGAAGTGTATGAGTAGGAGGTATACCAAGCCTAAAGGAAGTCTCATCAGGTAGTATATGGAAAGAAAATTAATCTTGCATAGAGGAGCACTTGGCAGCTATTTGCATGGATGCAGGAAGCACAATACCTAGGTGAGACTCAGCAAATGGTACATGGATGGAGTATGTTGTCAATTTGTATCTAGCAGGTACATAGTTGGAGAAAGCACTCAACTAAGGGAGGACCCAGAAGAGGGTGAATTAGTAAACTTTGCTTTCAGCCTAGTGTAGGACCAAGCAGGATATTCATGATTCCAGGTAGCAGTCAGCCTACTGGAGCACTCTACAAGGAATAATAAACATGTGGTGGGACGAGCCACATGTGATTAGTGGTCTTGGTTGGACATATTGGGTGGAGTGGACATATTGAAAAGTGCAGTCAGCCACGAGTCTGCCTACACTTTCCTGCCCATATATTTTCCACTGGGTCCTCCCTTATTCTGCTTGCAATGTACACTAAAAGGACTTTACCAGATTTTCCTTAGGATGGATGTTCCCTTCACCCATTTACTCCCTGTAGACTACTCCCCTAGACTAACTGTGCCCTCCATTCATGCACTTTCTGTAGCATCTTACCCCAGGCTGGAAGCTTTCTCTCCCCTTTCCCCTCCTACCAACTCCTACCCTAGGGGATATATTCCCTGGTGATATGCCCCTCCTACTACGTCCTACCAGAGGCTGGATGCACAATTAACCCATGGATTTCCTTTCATGTTCTGTCTTACTGTTTTAGGTCATGCTTGCATTGCTATAAAGAAATACCTGAGACTGGTTAAGTTATAAAGAAAAGAGGTTTAATTGGCTCATGGTTCTTCAGGCTACACAGAAAGCATGGCACCTGCATCTGCTCAGCTTAGAATGCAGCAAGTCTAATGGAGAACATTACAGAAAGTGCATGATTGGAGGGTAGCCAAGCTAGCAAGAGGACCTGGCCTTTGACACATATTTTAGTCTATTTGGGCTGCTATAACAAAATGCCATAAAGTAGGTGGCTTATAAACAACATAAGTATATTTCTCACAGTTCTGGAGACTACGAAGTTCATAGTCAGGGCACCAGCATATTCAGTGTCCAGTGAATGTCCGCTTCCTACTTCATAGACAGCAGTCTCCTTGCTATAACCTCACATGGTGCAAGGGCCAAGAGAGATCTCCAGGGCCTGTTTTAAAAAGCATTAATTCCATTTATGAAAGCTCCACCCTCCTGATTTAATTACCTTTCAAAACTGTCACCTCCAAATACCATCACACTGGGCGCTAGAACTTAACATGTATTTGGGGGGTGGACATAAACATTCAGTCTATAGCAGTGCATGAATGTAAGGATTATTCATCTTAGGGTAAGACCTCACAGGGGATGCATAGGTGGAGGGTGCAGTCATCCTAAGCAAAGACATGGTGGGAAGTACATGAATGAAGGGTACATCTACCTTAGAGAAGGATCTAGCAAGAAGTGCATGGGTATAAGAAGCTTCCAGACTAGGATATAACATGGTAAGGTATGCATGAATGGAGGCTGCAGAGAAGGAGACAGCAAGAAGTTTATAAATACAAAGTGCACCAAAACTGGGGAAGATTCTGTAGTCAGTGTTTTGGTGGAAGGTCCAGCCAGCTTAAGGGAATAATCGGAAATAGATGCATGAGTGAAGGAAGCATAAAGATTAAATAGGATTAAGCCGTAAGTGCGTGGGTGAACGGAAGATTCAGCTTAGTGGAGGAATATTCAGCAGGTACACTGGTGGAGGAAGCATTCAATCATCGGAGGAAAAAGAGAATAGAGCCAGCCGAGGAGAGAGTATGGCTGGAGTTACCTGATTGGAGGAAGCAACAAGCATAGGGGAAGATCTGCAAGAGATACATAGATGGAGAGTGTAGACAAGGTAGTTGGGGGCATAGCAATAAAACAGGGAGGGTACAGAAGCAAGTTGAGGTGTCATGCAGGCTAGGAGAGTAATCAGCAATAGGAGTGAGGATGGATATAGCATCTGCAACTCACGCTGCTAACAAAGACATACCCGAGACTGGGTGATTTATAAAGAAAAGAGGTTTAATTTACTCAGAGTTCCACATGGCTGGGGAGGCCTCACAATCATGGTGGAAGGCAAAGGAGGTACGAAGTCAAGTCTTACATGGTAGCAGACAAGAGACAGCTTGTGCAGGGGAATTCCCATGTATAAATTCCCATGTATAAAACCATCAGATATTATTCACTACCACAAGAACAGTATGGGGGAAACTGCCCCTATTATTCAATTATCTTCACCTGGAACTACCCTTGACATGTGGGGATTATTACAATTCAAGGTGAGATTTGGGTGGGGACCCAGCCAAACCCTATGAGCATCCAGACTGGAGGAAGACTTGGCAAAAGATGTGGGAGTAGATGGTGCAGCCATTCTAGACAAGACTAGGAAGTAGGTGCAAGGTTTAAAGGATAATCTAGTGTAGGGGAGAAAGAGATAGGAGGTGAATCCAGGGTGCAGGCCTCCTGTTAGAGTACTTAGCATGAAGTCCAAGATAAAGGGAACTTCAAGCCTAGGATAAAACCTTGCAGGGAGTTCACCTTTGGGGTGTGTAGCTAGCCTAGGGAAAGACTTGGCAGAAGATAGGGGTAAGAGGTATCATTCAGATAGGGTATTAATATTGTTTGCCATTGCTGGGAGCATTCGGCCTGTAGGAGTACTTGAAAATAAGGGCACCGTTGATGGTATATCCACCTAAGGAGAAAACGTGGCCAACCTTACAAAAATACAGAAACTATCCTGACTAGGGCCTAATATTATAGGAGGTACATGGATGCAGTATGCAGCAATATAGTGCAGGACTCATCAGGAAGTTCATGGGTGGAGGGAGCACACAGCCAAGGGTAGAACTCAGGAGGTGCTGCATAGATGGAGGGCAGAGCCACCCTAGGGGAGAATCTTTCTACAAGGGCATAGATAGAGGGAGCATGTAGGCTAGGGTCAGCAATATGTGCATGGATGGAATGTGCAATCAGTCTAGCGAAGAATTTGTTTAGATGTGTGGGGGTTAAGGAAGCTTTCAGCCTAAGGGGAGGAACCTGTTAGAGGTGCATAAGAGCATTGAAAATCAAGCCTAGGGAATGACCAGGCAGGTGATACGTAGTGGGAGAAAATATTCAGTGTAGTGTAGTACCTGGCAGTAGTACATATGTTGAGGTTACAGTCAGGGTATGGGGGGGATACAGCAGAAAGTTTATGGTTGGCAAGAGAACCCAATGTAAAGGAGGAGTTAGGAGTAAGTATGTGTGTTGATGGTGCAAACAATCTGGGAGAGGTCATGGCAGGAGTTTCATAGGTGGAAGAAATACCTAGCCTAAGGAAGGATCAGCAACTGATACATGGGTGGAGGGTGTAGCTAGTTTATACAGGACCTGACAGAGAGCTTATGGCTTGCGGAGCAGTCAGCCTAGGTGAAGAACACTGCAGGACTTGCATAGGTGGAGAGAGCATCCTGCGAATAGGAAGATATGGCAGCAGGTACATGGGTGTAAAATTCAGTCCGCCTAGAGGATAGCTCACATAAGATACTTGGACTAGGGCTGTAGCCAGTCTACAGGAAGATATGGCAGCAGGTACATGGGTGTAAAATTCAGTCCGCCTAGAGGATAGCTCACATAAGATACTTGGACTAGGGCTGTAGCCAGTCTACAGGAAGATATGGCAGGAGATGAACGTAGAAGGCATCCTGGCAAAGGGAGGTCTTAGAAGGAGGTACATTATGGAGAGTGTACAAGCCCAAAGGAAGTTCTAGCAGCTTGTGCATGGTGAATTGTGAATCTAGATAAGGTGAAAAATTGTCAGGTGGTCTATGGGTCACATGTGCATCCATACTATTATTGGGAAAAGGCAAGAGATACAGGGGTGCAGAATCCAACCAGCCCAGGGGATGACCACAGGAAGTGCATGGATGGATGAAATATACAGTATAATGAAGAATTTCACAAAATATGTAAGTTAGGCTAATTCAAAGAGCCTAGAAGAAGTCCTGGGACAACTTTCATAGGCATAGGGAAAATTCAGCCTATAGGAAGACCTAGGACCAGGTCCGTGGGTTTAGGGAAAAACCAGTCTACCAGTGGCTTATGCAGGGTGTGCATAGGTGAAGGGTGTCACCAGCAAAGGGGAGGACAAATAATAAACTGCATGGGTAGAGGAAGCATCAAGCTAAAGCATGGACTAATCATGAGGTGCATGCATGGAAGATGCAACATGTCTAGGGAGGAATCTTCAGGAAATGCATGATTGTAGGGTATACCAGAGCTATTGGGAGCGGTGTTGGTGAGGCAGTAACTGCATCGGTGAATAGCACATCCACCCTATGACAAGCTCTTTCAGGAACTGTGTTCATGGGTTGTGCTGCCAGCTGAGGGAAAAAAAACTGGAAGAAAATTAATGAAAGGAACCTGTATCCAGCCTAAAGGAATATCTGACAGGAATTACACAAATGAAAGTTGTGGGAGGTGGCCAAGATGGCTGACTAGAAGCAGCTAATGTGTGTGGGTCTCACAGAGAGAAACAGAAATGGTGATTAAATATAGCACCTTCAACTGAAACATCCAGGTACTTGCATTGGGACTAATGAAGGAAACAACTTGACCCATGGAGAATGGAAAAGGCAGAAAGACGACCCACCCAGGAGAGACACAGAGCCAAGGGTACCTCCCTTGCCAAGGGAAGTGGTGAGTGAATGTGTGACCCCCAGAACCCATGCTTCTCCCACAGATCTTTGCAACCCTTAGGTCAAGATGAACTTGCTCCACCAGGGCCTTCTGTCTGACATACAGAACTATGTGGAGTCTCAGCAGAGCAGTCACTCTGAAATTATTCCAAAAAACTGAGGAGGATAAACTCCTCCCAAACTCATTCTATGAGGCCAGTATAATCTTAATACTAAAACCTGGCAGAAGCACAGAAAAAAAAAAGAAAACTTTAGGCCAATATCCTTGAAGAACATCCATGCAAAAATCCTCAACAAAATACTTGCAGACTGAATGCAGCAGCACATCAAAAAGCTAATTCACCATAATCAAGTAGGCTTCATCCCCAGGATGCAAGGTTGGTTCAACATATGCAAATCAGTAAGTGTGATTCATCACATAAACAGAACTAAAGATAAAAACCACATGATTATCTCAATAGATGAAGAAAAGGTTTTTGATGAAATTCAACATTGCTTCATGTAAAAAACTCTCAATAAACTAAGTATTGAAGGAACATACCTCAAACTAATAAGAGCCATCTGGGACAAATCCATAGTCAACATTATACTGAAGGGCCAAAAGCTGGAAGCATTCTTGAAAACCAGCACAAGATAAGGATGCCCTCTCTCACCATTCCTATTCAACATAGTATTGAAATTCCTATCCAGAACAATCAGGCAAGATAAATAAATAAAAGATATTTGAACAGAAAGAGAGGAAGTCAAACTATATCTGTTTGCAGAAGACATGATTTGGTGTCTAGAAAACCCCATAGTCTCAGCCCAAAAGCTGATAATTTCAGCAAAGTGTTAGGATGCAAGAATCAACGTATAAAAATTATTAGAATTCCTATACACCAACAACAGCCAAGTTGAAAGACAAATCAGAAAGGCAATCCCATTCCCAATTGCCATGAAAAGAATAAAATACCTAGGAATACAGCTAACTAGAGAGGCAAAAGATCTCTGCAATGAGAAATACAAAACACTGCTCAAAGAAATCAGGGAAGACAAAAACAAATGTAAAAACATCCCATGCTCATGGATAGTGTTATTGTTTGGTTCTGTGTACCCACCCAAATTTTATGTTGAATAAAATTCCCAGTGTTGGAAAGGGGACCTGCTGGGAGGTGATTGGATCATGGATGTGGATGTCCCCCTTGCTGTTCTCATAATAGTGAGTGGGTTCTCAGGAGATCTAATGTCTTAAAATTATGTGGCACTTTCCCCTTCACTCTCTCTCTTGCCTCCATGTGAAGACATGCTTGCTTCCCCTTTGCCCTTCTGCCACGCTTGTAAGTTTCCTGAGGCCTCCCAGCCATGCTTCCTGTACAGACAGCAAAATTTTTTTCAATTAAACTTATTTCCTTCATATGTTACTCAGTCTCAGGTAGTTCTTTATAGCAGTGTGAGAATCGACTAATACAGAAAATTGGTACCAGAGAAGTGGAGCATTGCTATAAAGATACCTGAAAATGTGAAAGCAACTTTGGAACTGAGTAACAGGCTGAAGTTGGAACAGTTTGGAGGGCTCAGAAGAGACAGGAAGAAGAGGGAAAGTTTGGAACTTCCTAAAGACTTGTTGAATGGTTGTGACCAAAATGCTGATAGAGATATGAAAAATGAAGTCCAGGCTGAGGTGGTCTCAGATGGATCTGAGGAACTTATTGGGAACTAGAGTAAAGGTCACTCTTGCTATGCTTTAGCAAAGAGACTGGTGGCATTGGGACCATGCTCTAGAGATCTGTGGAACTTTGAACTTGAGAGAGATGATTTAGGGTATCTGGCAGAAGAAGTTTCTAAGCAGTAAAGCTTTCAGGAATTCGCCTGGCTGCTTCTAAAAGCCTACACTAATTTTCTTTTTTTTTCATTAACATAGATTTACACTTTATTTTAAATTTGCATCCTGAGATAATAAAATTTAATCTGACAAATGAACAATGGCAGAAGCAGCAGTGAAAGTTTCAGAGAGGCAGGTATCCTTCATTTTGGCATAGCTGTATATAGATTGAGTTTTTCCAGGGAAGTCATTCCTGGACTCAAGGGAGAAAAAATGAATTCATTCCACAGGCTATGTAACAATGCAAGATGCATGAAAGTTCTTAGTTTGGATGAACATATCCACTATTATTCTTTTCTGGTAAAGCTGTCCCAACAGGAATCCTCTGACAAAAAGTCAAAATCCTAGGCTTCTTCACCAGATATTTTTATCAATGCCCACTTTCTGGTTACCTGGATATCCTGTTCTTGCAGCCAGATTCATATTTGTATGTGGTTAGTCCAAGGAGGGCAAATTCGCTCTTAGATTATATACTTTCGAACACTTGTTACTTGTTTCAAAGTCCAGGCATTAAAACAATTTTACACTATTTGCATACTAGAAAAAATGGAAAATAAAAAAAGTCGAGATAAAAACAAACAAAGAAATAAAAGAGCATTTGAGAAATTATTGCCTTGATTCATCATGTTGAATTTATATACAGAACTACTTTAAGTGTCAGAAATTGATATTTAGTTCAATGCTAGAATATGACATTATAGCATTTTCCACATTTGTAATCCTATATGTGTGTGTATGTATGAGCAACATGTATACACCTAAATAAATTAGGCCAGTTATATTCTAAAACAGAAAAAAAAACTGAAGGCAAATTCTAACCTGAAGTTATATAGCCTAATATAGCCAAAACACACAAACACACACATTTCATTATTTAGAGACTAGGTAAGCAACCTGTGGAGAGGGTCAAATAATCTTAGTTCCTTTATAAAAGTGGTTCCCAACATTTGACCACAAGAATCCCTTCATTATTCTTTTCCCATGTTTCCAAGTATTTAATAGGTTGCACATAATAGGCTTTCTTATTTTATTATTAATCAAAAACATACTGCCATTCACAGCTTTTGATCAGTTGTTGATAAGCAAGCAGTGATAACACAGAATTGAGAGCACATAGGCAAAATGCATAGAAATTCAATGTCTTAATTGGCTTGTGAAGCAGGAATATTATGGGTAAATGTATAATTTCTAATATACTTTTTGAAATATTACAAAAAGCTCAAGGATACCCTCCACTGCTATCATCTGCTGAAGCTGGGAACCACTGATTTATATCCACCTGCTTTTCCTCCCTAAATATGTATTAACTTAATACAATTACCCACGTTTAACACATAGGGAATTAATAACAAAATTTACTATTAAAATAATAGATCAACTGCAACAGTCATTCTGTAGGACCTGACTGAGAAAGAAAACATAGCATGGATTTAAAGAAATCTATTTAGAAATTATATAATTATGATATCCAGTATATCTTTCAGTCAACTTCAAAGCACACTAATATATCAAAATATCCTCAATTCCCCTGTGAGGTAGGCCCAGATTATTGTCCCCACTTCAATGATGAGGACGTGAGGTACAGAGGAATTAAGCAGCAGAGCCAATAATTAAACCAGAAGTGACTTGCATTTGAGTCCCATACCACTTTCCTTTCCACCTAATTTTATCAATTTGTTCCAACAGATCTTTTTGAGGGTATGGAATTTGATTAGACACTAAAGTAAATGTTGGATAGGATATGAAATCTTCACATAAATGCCAAAGTGGGTCCTCCAATATTTCCATTGTTGTTCCAGCTATAATTCTTGCCTGAATACCAACTGCATAGACAGATTCTACACAGACAAAGCACACATTATTATTATGGCCTGTAAACACTAATATCTGAGCAATCAAACTGTTTTATCTACCATTTTTGATGAAGTTTGAATAAAGTTTAAAAATGTGTAAGTCTTTGAACAAATGTATGAAAGCTTTAAAAGATCATTAGCATTTTTATTTTGTTTACAAATAAGCTGCCATTTTAAAAAAATAAAACCTCACTACTTGAACATAAAGCTCCCAAACAATATTGTATTAAAATGTACTATATTGACCTAGGAGGATATAGAAATTATATTCACCTGATTAACTGGAGCAGTTTCACACAGTGGAAATACTTTTTGCTGATTTGATTATAAGTGCTCACATTTATTGAAATTAGATTCTCTTATGCCTATAAAAGTATACTTTAAAAATATTTTGCAACAACTGTCAAATTATTTGGGTTCCTTTAAATAGCAAATGGTTGGGAAATTTTCCACACAAATGAATAGATTTTATTAATACCTGTTCATGTAGTATGTGGACTAAAACAATTGATATATATCCATATATATAAATGAATGATCTTATCTTGCCACAAATTTGTCTTACCTGATTCTGAGCCAGCCTTTTTGTTTTGATGGCACCCTGTGAGTACGTTCCATTTTCTGTGAACTTTGTCAAATTCATGCTATATGAGGAAATGATCTAATGTTGTGGGCCCCAGGCAGGTCATCTTAATTGCATGTCTGTCTCTTCTGTAAAATTATGGGGTGGAACCTAGAGCTGGACAAAATATTAGAGATCACTTACCATTCTGTGATTCAAGGAATTCTTAGGAAATTTTTACTCTATAGAATCTCAGAATGATTATTCTCAGATCTACTGTCCTTGGTGGAAACTCTCACAGTGCCTTGCATGCAGTAAAAGTTTGATTTGCTAACTGGCTGCTGGCTGATGTGTGTTAATTAGCACACAGACTCCAAGAACCTGATGCTTGCTAGACCTTAGTTCCTTGGTGATGCTAAGAGTAAATGTAGTTTTCCTAGGAACTGAGCACTGAGGTCTGTGAGCCTACACTAATTTTCATAAACAAATAAATAGCCTGAAACTAGAACTTATGTTTAAAAGGGAATAAGAGCATAAAAGTTTAGAAAATTTGCAGCCCAACCATGCAGTAGAAAAGAAAAAAAAATTCTGGCTAGGAATTCAAGGCTGCAGAGGTTTGCATAAATAAAGAAGAGCAGAATGTTAATAGCCAAGACAATGGGGAAAATGCCTCCAGGGTATTTTAGAGAACTTCGTGGTAGTCCCTCTCATCACAGGTGTGGAGACCTAGGAAGGAAAAATGATTTTGTGGGCCAGGGCCAGGACCCCATTGCTCTATGCAGCCCCAGGACATGGCACCGTGCATCCCAGGGGCTCCAACTTCAGGAATGACTAAAGTGGGCCAAGGTGCAGCTTTGGCCATTGCTTCAGAGGGTGCAAGCCCCAAGCCTTGGTGGCTTCCACATGGTATTGGGCCTGTGGGTATACGGAAGGCAAGACTTGAGGTTTGGGAGCCACCTAGATTTCAAAGGATGTATGAAAATGCCTGGGTACCCAGGAAGAAGTCTGCTGCAGGGACAAATCCCTCATGGAGAACATCTACTAGGGCAGTGCAGAGGGATGCAAAGTTGAAGTCCCCACACAGAATCTCCAACTGGGGCACTGCCTAGTGGAGCTGTGAGAAGAGGGCCACCATCCTCCAGACCCCAGAATGGTAGACCCACTAACAGCTTGTCCTATGGGCCTGGAAAAGCTGTAGGCACTCAATGCCAGCCCATGAAAGCAGCTGTGGAGGCTCTATCCTGCAGAGCCACAGGGGTGGAGCTGCCCAAGGCTTTGAGAGCCCACCTCTTGCATCAGTGTGCCCTGGATGTGAGACATGGAGTGAAAAGAGATTATTTTGGAGCATTAAGACTTAACAACTGTCCTGATGAGTTTTGGACTTGCATGGGGCCTATATCCCCTTTATTTTGGCCAATTTCTCCCTTTTGGAATGTGAACATTTCCCCAATGCCTGTACCCCCATAGTATCTTGGATGTAACTATCTTGTTTTTAATCTCACATGCTCATAGGTGGAAGGGACTTGGCTTGCCTCAGATGAGACTTTGGACTTGGATTTTTAAGTTAATGCTAGAATGAGTTAAGACTTTGCGAGATTGTTGGGAATGTATGATTATGTTTTGAAATGTGAGAAGGACACAGTCTTTGGGAGGGGCCACGGGTGGAATTATAAGTTATGTTCTCTGTCCCCACCCAAATCTCATGTTAAATTGTAATGCCCAATGTTGGGGGAGGGAGCTGGTGGGAGGTGACTGGATCATGGGGGCGGATTTTGCTCTTGCTGTTCTCATGATAGTGAGTGAGTTTTTAGATCTGATGGTATGTGGCACTTCCCCCTCTGCTCTCTCGCTTTTGCTGCCATATGAAGACGTGCTTGCCTCCCCTGTGTTCTTTTGTCGTGATTGTATGTTTCCTGAGGCCTCCCAGCCATGTTTTCTGTACAGCCTGCAGAACTGTGAGTCAATTAAACCTCTCTCCTTCATAAGTTACTCAGTCTCAGATTGTTTTTTATAGCAGTATGAGAATGGACTAATACAGATATGAAGAATTAATATCATTAAAATGGCCATGTTGCCCAAAGCAATGTACAGATTCAATGCTATTCCTATCAAACTACAAACAACATTCTTCACAGAACTAGAAAAAATTATTTTAACATCTATATGGAACCAAAAATAGCCTGATTAGCCAAGAAAATCCTAATAGCTGGAGGCATGATGTTACCCAACTTCAAACTATACTACAGTGCTACAGTAACCAAAACAGCATGGTACTAGTACAAAAACAGGCACTAAGACCAATGGAACAGAATAGGGAGCCCAGAAATAAGGCCACTCACCTATGACCTATGACCATCTGCTGTTCAACAAAGCTGACAAAAATAAACAATGGGGAAAAGCCTCCCTAACAATAAATGGTGCTGGGATAACTGTCTAGCCATATGCAAAAGATTGAAGCTGGATGCTTTTCTTACACCATATGCAAAAGTCAACTCAAGATGTACTAAAGACTTAAATGTAAAACCAAAACACTATAAAAATCCTGGAAGACAATCTAGAAAATACCATCCTGGACATAGGAATGGGCAAAGATTTCATGACAAAGACACCAAATTGACAGTGGTATCTAATCAAACTGAAGAGCTTCTGCACAGAAAAAGAAACTATCAACAGAGTCAACAGATAACCTACAGCATGGGAGAAAATATTTGCAAAGAATGCATTTGACAAAGGTCTAATATCCAGCATCTGTAAGGAACTTACACACATTTACAAGAGAAAAACAATTCCATTAAAAAGTGGACAAAGGATATAAATAGCAATTTTTCAAAGAAGACATACATGAGGCCAACAAGAATATGAAAGAGCTCAATATCACTGATCATTAGATAAATGTGAATCAAAACCGCAATGAGATACTATTTCCCACCAGTGAGAATGGCTATTATTAAAAAGTAAAAAAAATTACAGATGCTGGTGAGGTTGCAGAAAAAAGGGAACTCTTGTACATTGCTGGCGGGAGTGTAAATTACTTCAATCATTGTGGAAAATAGTATGGTGATTCTTCAAAAAGCTAAAAGCAGAATTACCATTCGACTCAGCAATTTCATTACTGAGTATATACCCAGAGGAATATAAGTCATTCTACCATACAGACACATACACACGGATGTTCATTGCATCACTATTCACAATAACAAAGACATGGAATCAACCCAGATGCACATTGATGACAGATTGGATTAAAAAAACAACAACTGTGGTACATATACACCATGTAGTCATATAAAAGAATGAGATCATGTCTTTTGTGGGAACATAGGTGGAACCGGAGGCTATTATCCTTAGCAAAATAATGCAGGAACAGAAAACCAAATACTGCATGTTCTCACTTTTTAAGTGGAAGCTAAATGATCAGAATTTATAAACACAAAGAAGAAAATAACAGACACTGGGGTCTACTTCAGGATGGAGGGTGGGAGGAGAAAGAAGAGCAGAAAAGATAACTATTGGGTACTGGGCTTAATACCTGGGTAAAGAAATAATCTGTACAACAACCCTCCATGAACAAACCTTCACGTGTACCCCTGAACTTAAAATAAAAGTGAAAACAAAGTTGCTGCTTACCTAGATTTTCACTGTTTAGGGAGTGTATGGGTGGGAGATGCAGTCAGACTCAGGGAAAAGATGACAAGATGTTCAATGGTGAAGCAAGCACCTATTCACAGTGAAGACTCAGTAGAAGGAGCACCAGAAGAATTCTCCTTCCTAGGAGAAGTGTTCACTAAAATTGATTGGGGGTAGGGACCATCCAGCCTAGGCAAGAACCCGGAAAGAGGTACATCGGTAGAAGGTACAGCTAACATAAGGGTTTTCTTGGGTGGTAGTGAATTAGTGGAGGTTGCAGCCAGTCTAGGAGAGTATTTAGCAGGAAGAACATGAATAGAGGTGTCATCTTCCCAAGGGGGTAATTCCTGTAAAATTGCACCAGTTCCAACTAGCCTAGCAGGATGTATGTAAGTAGAGGGTGTAGTTAGCCTAGGAGGGGACATGGCAAGAGTTGCATGGGTCAGAGGAATACCCAGCCTAAGAAAACACCAGGCAGGATGTTCATAATAGAGGATCCAGCCAACTGAGGGTGAGAAATGTCAGAAGGTGCATGGTGGAGATTCCAGTATATCTAGAAAAAGTCACAGATTTATGTTCATGAGGAAATGTTGCACTCCATCTAGATGTGGACTTGGTAGGAGATGCATGGTCTAAGAAAGAATCCATAAAGGGGAAAACCTAGTAGGTGGTACATGTGTGGTATGTTCAGCCAACTAAAGGGAGGATATTTCAGACAATGCATCAGTGGAATGAAAATATGTACTAAGAGAGGATTTGAGAAGAGCTGCATTAGTGAAGGAAGCATCCAGGCTAGGAGAGGACTTGCAAAGTCCCTGGGTAGAATGTGTAGTGAGCCTAGTGGAGCAACCAGGAGAAAGTGCATTGGTGGACAGATAGTCTAGCCTGAGGTAAAAATGAACAGGTAGTGCATGGCTTGAGAATGTATCCAGCCTCAGGGAGGATATTTCAGGAGGTATACAAATTCAGGGTGCATCCAGACTAGCAGAGGACCTGGCAGAAAGTTCATAGGTTGAGGAAGAATTTAGCCTAGGAGAGGACTTGACAGGAGGTGCATGAGTGTAATTTGAAGCCAGCCTCCAGGAAGACTTACCAGGAAGTACATGGGTGAAAGTAGCATTCAGGCAAGAGGAGGACTTGACCAGAGGTCCATGATTGTAGGGTGCAGCAACTCTAGAGGAGGATACAACAGGGTATTGCATCAGTGTCAGGATAAGCCAGATCAGAAGAGGATCTGGGAAGAAGTACATGAGTGAAGAGAGCATCCAGCCTAGTGGAGGATATGGCAGTAAGTGCCTGGGTGGAAGTTGCAGCTATCTGAGGTTAAAACCCACAGGATATATATGGGGGAGGATACAGAAAGCCTCTTGTAGGATCTGACAGAAGATTTTAGAGTGGAGGATGCATTCAGCCTGAAAGAACACATGGGATCAGGTGCAGAGATATAAGGATCAGACTCCCTAGGGGACAATTTGCATAAAGTGCATGAACCAAGGGAGCACCCATCCCAGGATAAGATTCAGAAAGAAGTGCATGAAAAAAAATTCAGCCTAGGGAAGGTCCCATGAGTTTTTGTATGGGTGCAGAAAGTAACCAGTCTGGGGAAGGACCCAGAATGAAGTACAGGGGTGGAGAAAGCATCAGACTTGGAATAGGAGTGGAATAAATTGCATGAGAGAATTAAGTCAGATTATGGGGGATTCTGGTGGATTTGTAAAATTGGAGTATACAGCCAGCTCAAGAGAGGATCTTTCAGCATTTACATGTGATTAGGAAGCAGTGAGAGGTATATTATCCTGGGTTCTGCAGAGAAGCAGAACATACATATATATATATATTTATGAGGGATCTTCACAAAGTTCATGGAAAGTATGAAATATGGAAAAATGCAAACATTTTTTGCAACAAAATAAATTCACACTACTTTGTTGTAACATGTCTGAACAAGATCTGGCTTGAGGTACTAAGAAGGATAAGGCATCAGTGTGAAAAGGGCCCCTACCAGAGAGCAACATGAATTCTGCTAAAATTAAAGGAAGAACAAACATCAAATTTATGTTGAAGCATGAGTGGAAGCATGGTGAAATCACTGATGCTTCACAAAATGTAAACAATGTCCCCAAATATCAGCAGTTTACAGATGGATAGCCAGTTTTAAGAAGAAGAAGAGACAAGATGATGTTGAAGACGAAGCTCATAGCAGCAGATGATCTGCATCAATTTTCAAGGAAAAAATTAATCTTGTTCATGCCCTAATTGAAGAGTACTGACGATTAACCGCATTAACAGTAGTCAAACACCATAGACATCTCAGTTAGTTCAGTTTACACAATTATGACTGAAAAATAAAGTTGAGCAAACTTTCCACTCAATGGGTACTAAAGCCATTGTGCTCAGATCAGCTGCCGACAGGAGCAAATGTTTCAGTGGAAATTTTAAACAAATGGGATCAAGATCCTGAAGCATTTCTTCCAAGAATGTTTACAAGAGATTAAACTTGGCTTTACCAGTATGATCCTGAAGACAAAGCCAATTAAAGCAATGGCTACGAAGAAGTGAAAATGGTCCAGTCAAAGCAAAAGTGGACCAGTTAAGAGCAAAGGTCATTACAACAGTTTTCTGGGATGCTGAAAGCATTTTCTATGTTGACTTTCTGGAGAGCCAAAGAATAATAACATTTGCTTATTATGGGAGTGCTCTGAGAATGTTAGCCAAAGCTTTAGCAGAAAAATGCCTGAGAAAGCTTCACCAGAGAGTCCTTCTCCATCATGACTGTATTAGTCAGGGTTCTCTAGATGGACAGAACTAATAGAATATATATATATATGAGAGGGAATTTATTAAGGAGAATTGACTCACACGATCACAAGGTAAAGTCCCACTATAGGCCATCTGCAAGTTGAGGAGCAAGAAAGCCAGTGGTGGATCAGTCCGAGTCCCAAAACCTCAAAAGTAGGGAAGCCAACAGTGCAGCCTTCAGTTTGTGGCCAAAGGCCCAAGAGACCCTGACAAACCACTGGTGTGAGTCCAAGAGTCCAAAAGCTGAAGAACTAGGAGTCTGATGTTCGAGGGCAGGAAGCATCCAGCGTCGGAGAAAGATGAAGGCTGAAAGACTCAGCAAGTCTGCTCTTCCATCTTCTCCTGCCTGCTTTGTTCTGGCCATGCTGGCAGTTGATTAGATGTTGCCCATCCAGATTGAGTGTGGGTCTGCCTCTCCCAGTTCACTGATTCAAATTTTAATCTCCTTTGCAACACCCTCACAGACACACCCAGGAACAATACCTTGCACCCTTCCTCCAATCAAGTCGACGCTCAATATTAACCATCACAACGACAATGCTCTTGCTCGTTCTTCTTATCCAAATAAGAGCAATTTTTGTGAGTTTTGATGGGAAATTATAAAGTATCCACCTTACAGTCCTAATTTGGCTCTTTCTGGCTTCTTTTGGTTTTCTTATCTTAAAAAAAAACTTTAAAGATTTTACTTTAGTTAACCATAAAAAAGACTGCATTGACATGATTAAATTTCCTGGAACCTCTGTTCTTTAGGGATGAACTATATGAGTGGTATCATTGTTTAAAAAGGTGTCTTGAACTTGATGGACCTTAAGACAAGTAATATAGTACATTTTTAGAATTTTTATCTTCTAATTTCATTTTTTTCCACAAACTTATTTCTCTCTCTCTCTCTCTCTGTGTATGTGTGTTTGTGTGTGTGTGTGTGTGTGTGTGTGTGTGTGTGGTGGTGGTGGTGGTGGTGATGCTGTGTGTGTATGGAGAGAGATTTATTATGAGAAATTGGCTTATGTCATTATGGAAGCTGTGGAGTCCTATGGTCTGCCATCAGCAAACTAGAAACCCAGGAAAGCCAATGGTATATTTTAATCCAAGTTCAAAGGCCTGAGAAGTAGAAGAGCAAATGGTGTAAATCCCAGCCTGAGCACAGGAAAAGATGAGGTGAAATGTTCCAGCTTGAGCAGTGAGGCAGGAAGAAAAGGGACAAATTGCTCCTTCTTCAATCTATCAATTCTATTTGGGTCTTCAATGGATTGGATGATGGCCAACCACACTGAGAAGGGCAATCTGCTTTACTGAGCCCATTGACTCAGATATTCATCTCAAAACCTTGCAGACACACCCAGAAGTAAGTTTTAATATGGGAATTCCTTAGCCCAGTCAAAGTGACATTAAAGTTAACTATCACATGAAGTCTCAGTAAAAGGTACTTGAGTAGATAGTAGAGTCTATCTAAAGAAGCCTCTGATAATGGCTGCATGGGTGTGGGGTGCAGCCAGCCTAGGGCAAAACTCAGAGGAAGTGCAAAGGTGGAAGGTACTACCTACCCAGGGGAAGATATGGCAGGAGGTGCACAGTTGCAGGGTGTAACCAGCCTAGGGGAGGACATGGGAGGATCTTCAGGAATGCAGTTAAAGTCAGCCAAAAGGACCAAAAAGGTAGTGCAAGAATTAAGAATGCAGCCTTCTTAGGAGGAGAAATAGTAGGAGGTGTATGGATGCAGATTGCAGTTAGCTTAGCAGAGGACCTGGAAGGAAGTGCATTGGGAATGGGAGCATTAGCCAGTGGAGCATTCAACAGGAGCATCGTGGTTGGGGAAATGACCAAATCAGGGGAAGTCACAGTAGAAAATCCACTGGTAGAGAGAGCATCCAGAGGTAAGATTTGGTAGGGGTGTTAAGGGGTGGAATGTGCAGATTGTCTATGAGAGGATATGGTAGGAAGGGTATGGTTTCAGGGAGCTTCCATCCCAAGGTGAGAAATATTCAGGGCATGCATAATTGTTTGGGGCATCTAACCTAAGAGAGAATAGCAGGAGGTGCATGTTTGGAGGATATAGTCAGCCTAGGGAAGGAAACAGTAGAATTTATATTATGTAAGTTGGAAACAGCCTGACGAGAATCAGCAAGAAGTGTATGGTTGGAGGGAGCATACAACCTAAGGCAGGACCTGGCAGAACAGGCATGAGAGGATGAAGAATTCAACCTAGAGGACACTTGGCAGGTCTTTCATGGGTGAAAGGTATATTCAGCCTATGGGATGATCTGGCAAGAAATGCAGGAGTGAAATCACTAGGGCTAGATGAGGACGTGCAGGAAATGTATTGGAGGAGGGGCCATTCATTATAGAGCAAATCTTGCAGGTAGTATATAGTTAAAGGTTAAGTCAGTCTAGAGTAGGATATACTAAGAGGTGCGCTGGTACAGGGTGCAGCCAACCTAGGAAAGTAATAAGTAGAAAGTGTATGAGTGGATGAAATAGCCAGCCTAGATAAAGTCTCAGCAGGAGTTGCAATGGTGCATGGTACAGCCAGCCTAGCAGTAAAGCTGACCAGAGGTGTAGAGGTGGAAGAAATAACATCTTGCCCAGGGAAATAAATGACAGGTGGGCATGGATACAGAATGTAGTCAGTCTAGGATAGGAACCATGGAAGATACATTTGTGGTGGTTTCAGCCAGCCTAAAGAAGGGTATGGCAGGAGATGTAATCCAGTAAAATACATGGCATGGAGGGCAGTGGTGCAGTTTGTTGAAAGCCAAATGTACTCGGATATGTGCATTGATCAAGAATGAAACCAGTCTAAGAGCAGACACAGCATAAGACTAATGTGTGCTGGGTGTAGTCAGCCTAGGAGAGAACAGAGAGATATTTGCACGATTCAAAGGAGCATTTAGCCCAAAGGAGGTATTGGCAAGGGGTTTATACATTGATTGTGCAGCCAGCATAAGGAATGACATCCTATAAGGGGCATGATTGAGGACACTTCCAAACTAGTAGGAGTAATCCGCATGAGTGCAGTGGCAGAGAGACCATACAGCCTAGCTCACCACCGAGGAAGTAGTGCATGGGTAGGGCAAACACCAAGCTAACTTGAGGGCAAAAGAGGGAATGCATGTATACAGGTTGTAGCCAGCTTAGAGGAGGAACTGGCAAGATGTTTATGGGGAAAGGGAGAATCCAGCTTTGTGGGAAACTTGGAAGGCGGAGCAAGGGTGAAGGTGCAGCTCACCCAGGAGCTCAAGGATGCATAGGTTCCAGGTGCAACCAGCATAAGAAAAGATATAGTAAAAAGGTGTATGTGTGCCTGATGCCACCAGCTCAGATAACAATCAGGCAGAACATGCATGGGTGAAGGGTTCAACCAGATTGTGGAATCACATGGCAGGAGATGTATGAGTGCAAGTTGCAGCCAGAATCAAGGACAATTGTTACTTGGTGCATAGATGGAAGTAATATCCAACCCAGGGGAGATCTTAGCAGAATGTTCAAGGGAGAAAGAAGCCTCCAGCCTAGGAGAAGCCCTGGCATGGTTTTAAGGTTCAGCTATATCAGGGAATGTCCAGGCAAGAAGTGCATGCATATAGAAAGCATCAGACCTAGAGAAGGACCACTGGAAAGTGGATGGATGGAAGTCACATTCAGCATAGAGAAAGTCATGGAAAGATGTGCAGAGATGCAGGGTGCGGTCACCCATGTAATGGCCCCTGCAAGAAGTGCTTGGGCTATGGAAGCAAGAAGCCTAAATGAGGTACTATAAGGAAAGCATGGATGCAGGGTACAGGTAGACCTGAGAAAGGGCAGGCAGAATGTGCATGGGTGGAGAGAGCATCAATTCTAAAGAAGAGCTTGGAAATGGGTGGATGGATGGAGAAAGCGGCTAAGTTAGAGATAACCCGGTAGGAAGTTCTTGAATTGAGGGATCTTTCAGTGTAGGTAAGGCAAAACAGGAGAAGCCTGGGTGGAGGGTGCAGGCTACCAATGGGAGGATTTTCCATGATATTGACAAGTGGAGGGAGCATTTAGATAGGGCAAGTATTTGCCTGAGGGACATGGGTAAAGAAACAGCCACTCTAAGATATACTCCTATCTATACAGCAGTCGGTGCATAAAGTACACCAATATAAGGAAGGGCCCAGCAGAAAGTGAAGGAGTGGTATGAGGAGCCAGTCTAGGGAGAACCTGGAAGGAATTGATTAAAAGTCCAACCAAACAGGGGGAGGACTGGGTAGGGGGTACATCAGTGCAGGGAACATTAAACCTAGAACAAGACATTAAAGGAAGTTAATTGGTGGAATGTGCTGCCAGCATAGGGAAACAGCCAGTAGGAGGTATATGGGAAAAGAGTGAAGCCATCCTAGGGGTGTATTATGATTGGAATGTGCTACCTGCCTAAGGGAGGACGTGTTAGGTTATGCATGGAAGCAGGATGCAGCCAGCTTAACAAAGAACCCAGCAGGAAGTGCATAAGTGAAGTGAGCATCCTGTCTGGGAGAGGCTATGACTGAGAGTGCATGGATGCAAAATGCATCTAGTCTAGGGGATAATCCACAGATATATGTGTGGAGCTTGCAATGCAGGTGTTATGGGGCATCCCTGCTGAACAGAGGCCTTGGTGGGAAGTGTATAAGATGAAAGTGCAGAGGGGCTAGGGAAGGATTCAGCAGGCAGCATGCATGAATGGTGGCTGCAGCCACCCTAAGTGACAGTTGACAGGAGGTTTAAGGATGGAGGGATCAACTAGTCTAGGAGAGGACTTGGGCTGAGGTGCAGGAGTATAGAATGAAGCTTTCTGTATTAGTTTCCTCGGGCTGCTGTGACAAATTACCAAAAACTCGTTAGCTTAAAACAGCAGAAATGTATTATCTCATAGTTTGGGATGCTAGAAGTCTGAAATCAAGTGTTGGCAGGGCCATGCTCCCTCCAAAATCTCTAGGGTTGAATGTTTCCTTGCCTCTTATAGCTTCTGGTGGCTATGACTACTTCTCAGATTACTTGGCTGCATCACCCCAATCTCTTTCTCCATGGTCACACTGCCTTCATGTGTCTTCTCTTCCTCTGTCTGTGTCAAATCTCCCTCTGCCTTTCTTTTATAAGGATATTTTCCATTGGATTTAGGGCTCACTCAGATAATCTAGAAGGATCTCATCTTAGGGATCTTTAAAATAATTACATCTGCAAGTATATTTTCTCCAAATAAGATTATATTCACAGACTCTGGAGATTAGAACATGGACATATCTTTCTGAGGGTCACCATTCAACTCACTACCCCTGTTTAGAGTAGTGAAGGGCAGAATGTGCATAAGTGGAGTGGAAGTTGCAGTCAGTCTAGGGAATGATATAGCAGAAGGTACATGGCTAAATGATGTAGGTATCCCAATGCAAGACCTGACAAGAAGTGTGTGGGTGGAGAGAACATCCAGCCTATGAATGAATTCAGTAAGTACATGGGTAATTGGAGCAGCCAGCAATGAAGAGCAGTCAGAACTAGTTGCACAGAAGAGCCCAGACTAGGAGAAGATACAGAAGAATATACATGGGAATTAGAAACATCCACCCTTAGGAAGAATTCACTAGAATGTGCAAGGAAGGAGGGAACATCTAGCCTAGGAGAGCATATTGCAGGAAGTGTATGAGTGAAAGGAGCATCCAGTCTAGTAGAAGGCTCAGGGGGAGGTGCATAGGTTAGGACATGGCAGGATATACATTGCTAGAGGGAGCATCCAGCACAGGTAGGACTTGTTATAGGGTGCATGAGAGAACAATCAGATTAGGCCCGGAACAAGAAGTGTATGGATGAAGGGTATGGCTAGTCTAGGAGAGGACTAGGCAGGATATTCAAGGTACATATGTGGAGGTAGTAACCAGCTTAGAGGAAGACTAGGGGAAAGTACATTATCAAAGACTCCAGCCAGCCTAGGTTTGAGCTCTATAGGAAGTACATTTGTGCAGTGCAGAGAATTTCTAGTGTAGGAAGTGACAGTATTGCTTGGGTGAAAGGTGCAGCCAGCGTAAAGCAGGAATCAGTAGGAAGTGCGTGGGTGCATAGTGCAGCCAGGCTAAGAAATAATCGTTCAGGAAGCGTATGGTTGGAGTGTCTATCTAGCATAAGAAAGGAGTAGGAAGAAGGTACAGTGAGAATGATACAGCCAGCATAAGGGAGAACATGGCAAGATGTGCATGTTGGAGCCAGATCAGGAAAATATTCCACATGAAGTGCAGAAGTGAAGGATACATCCAGTATAGTTGAGAACCTGGAGGAAATTGCATGGGTGGTGTGTGGTGGAATAAATGCATTAGTAGAAAGAGTAATCAGCCTAGATTTTGGCATGACATTGGTGGAGGAAGGATCCAGAATAATGGAGGACTCAGCATTGAGTATATGAAAGATGGTGCAGCAAACCTAGGAAGAACTCATCAAGAAATGCATGGGAGGTGGGAGCATTAAGCCTAGGGTTAGAATCAGCATGAAGTATGTGGGTGGAGGGGCCATGCAACCTAGTGGAGACTTGGGAAGATGGTATCTGAAGAGGATGAGCCAACCTAGGAGAGGACTCAGTGTTATATGAATGGTTGGAGAGAACATCATTAGAGAAGATTTCTAGCATACAGGAGGAATCGGAGAATAGTGGATGGCTCAAGGTTACATCCAGCCTTGGTTAGGACATGGCAGGATGTTTGTGGGAGGAAAGAGAATCTGGTCAAGGGGATGATTTGGTAGAAATTTGGGTGGAGAGGGTGGATTGCCAATGGTATAACTTGTTAGGAAAAATATAGGTGGAGGGTACAGAAAGCTTATGGAATAACATTGGAGTAGGTTTATGAGTTTATAATAAATACATTCTGGCTGGAATGAAAGGGTGTAGGAAACTCGCAGTATAAAGGAGGATATGGCATGTAGAGGGAACATCCAGGCTAGTGGAGGTCCCATCAGGTGCTATATGTATGTGTGCACTCCGTGCATATGTACACACTATAGTAAGGCACTCAGGAGGTGCAACTGAGGTAGGAAAAGGCAGCCTAGGGGGGAACCCCATAGGAGGTTTAGGGGGTTTAGGAGAGGGTAAAGCCTAAGCAAGGACATGGCAAGAATTCTGTGAGTGAGGGAGATCCAGGCTAAGGGAGTACTCAGTCCTAAGTGCATTTGTGGCATTTTCAGCAAGTCAAAGGGAGAGTAGTCAGGAAAATTATGACTACAGCATGCACCAGCCTCGGGGAGGACCCATCAGGAAGCTTAAGAGTGAGGCCAGCCTGAAGTTTGGTGCACCAAGAAGTGCATGGTTCGGAGGGTGTAGCCAGTCTGGGAACTAACTAGCAGTAATTGCATTGTCAGTTGGACATTGCTGGATTTGCATGAGGAAATGTGAAGCTAGCCTCACAGAGAAACCTGTAGGAAGTGCATCAACAGAGAGTGAAGCTGGAGTAGGAGGGTTTCTAGCAAAAAATGCAAGGATATTCTTTGTATCTAAACTATTGGAGGGTTAAATGTTAATTTCAAGGGTTGGTAATGGAGCCAAATTTGATAATTCAGCATGATGTGCATGGGAGGAGGGAGCATCTAGCCTAGTGAAGAGGGCATGGCAGAACATGTGTGGGTGGTGAGATTATCAACATAACGCTATCTGCAGCAGAATGTGTATATGTGGAGGGTGCAGGGAGCCTAGAGAATGACTAGTATGCAGTGCAAGGGAAAAGGTAATGTCTAGTCTAAGGGAGGACTTGAGAAGAGGTACATTGTTGACAATGCAGCCATCATATGGAAGAACCTGGCCTGAAGTTCATGAGTGGAGGATGCTGCCAGTGTAAGGGAAGACTTGGCAGGAGGTGTGTGGATGCAGGATGCAGTAAGCAGATGTGAGGACATCCAGGCGGTTGAATGGTGGAAGGAGTACCATGCATAGGGGAAGATTCAGTAAAAGGAACGTGAGTGAAGTGTGCAGACATCCTAGGAGAAAATCTGGCAGGATGTGCACGGATGTGAATGGCATACATTCTACCTCAGAATTCATCCTGGGGTGGGGGTGGTGGGTATACAGGATTGAGTAATTATGGGAGGGCGCAGCCAACTTCAGGGAAGACATGGCACAAAGTGGATTGTTGGAGAGTACAACAAGTCTAGAAAAATACTGACATGAAGTGAAAGGGTGGAAGGGGTATTCAGCCTAGGATAGGATTCAGAAGTAGGTATGTTTGTGCAGGATGCAGCCACTCTCAGAGAGGACCTGGCAAGAGATTCATAAGCAGAGAATATAGCAAGTCTAAGGGAAAACATGGCAGGAGGTGCAGAAGTAAAAGCATTATACAGCCTTGTCGGAGGAATATGCAGGAAATGCATGGGTGGAGGAAGCATCAAAGGCCCATAAATAGGTGCGTGGGTGGATGGTGCAGATAGCCTAAGAATACTTGGCAGGAGGTGCAGAGTGGGAGAGTACAGCCAGCCAAGTTAAGGACATGTCAGGGATGCAAGTCTGCAGGAACTGGAAGGATGATCAAGGAACCAACCTAGTAAGGACCAACCTAGTAAGGTCCTAAATAGTAGACTCAGAATTAGAATGCCCGGAGTGGAAGGCTAACAGCAAACCCATATATGTGTAATTCATGATAAAAGCATATCAGGTGGCACCAGCAGAGAGTGGCAGAGGCCCAATAGAATCAAATTGTCACTGACTATATGGCCTCATGCCCCGAGAAATTGTATCTACAGATGATAAAGGCCAGTGTTTGGTAAAGGTACACAGATTACAGCTAATTTGGGCAACTTTGATGTCTGGAAACCTTATAAAGGAAGTCTTTCCTTTGTTCCCAAAGTAGCCTGGGACCCTAGGTGTCCCTAGGGTTCATATGCTTATCTGGCCATGAACAAAAGCAGACAATGGAGATTATCTGGGAGAGGCAGATCCATGTATTAGTACAGTGAATTTATTTCTTGCTAAGCTGTCTGTGATAGAATTATAATGTGATTCTGATTTATTTGATTTGATATGTGCAGAGATGTGCAAAACAAGAATAAGTATGGGGGATGAAGTAATGTCTGCCATATGAGATAGCCCACAAAGACCTTCCCTGAATGGTAAAATTATCTTGCTTCAATTTTTCTGACCCAATGACGACCATGCGGGAATCAGTCAACAAACAAATCTCAGGCAATTTGCAATGCAGGGCATCCTGAAAAATCAGGTAGACAGCCTCAAACTCTGCCAATTGGGCCAACCCTCATGTCTATTCCTTGTGATAGAGGAACCAGAAGCAGTGTGGTATGCCACCACTCACTACTGATTCCCACCATGTGGGATGGTGGCCCTGCCATTGGTGAGGCATACTGACTTCCTATGCCAGACATTTGATCTCAAGGAGCTCCCTAGATCACTACTAGGAATGACATGGTGTATACCTCCACCTCCTTAATAGGCATGGCCAAGGGACTGAGCACATGGGAAGCCAATTCTTCAGAAGTTTGGAAAGTCCTGTGGCATCAGGCTTAACTGAATCTCTAAATTACTATTTCCACTTAACCAAAGAGGATTCTGTGGCCATGCCTAGCCTCTTGGCATGGAGTCTTGACTTAAGGCATGATAAGGATTTGTGTCTGGATGCCAAATAGAATTGAGCCAATTAGGGCCTCAGTTTCCAGAAGGGACAGAATTTGTTGTTTGAGAGGTGAATATCTGCCATTTGAGGAAGTTACTTATTCCAAAAACCCATGGGCAACCACTTAAAACCATGCCTGATGCAGAAGCTCCAAGAGGCATAGTCCTTTGTAGCCAAAGCCTTGATTTAAAAGTTGGATCCCAAGGGAACCAAGGTCAATGCCTACTGTAAAGTTATCTGACTATTAAGATTTGTTGTGAGAGGCCTTAATGGAGGAAGTTTGACTTGCATATGACCTCATATGTGGGTCCAAGTATACTGAATACATGTGAGATGTGTTGGTCTTGAAAGGTAAAGAGGCTCAGGAGATCTTGGGCCTGTTTAAGTGTCTGTGGTACCATGAAGAGGGTGAGTAATTCGTGTTTTACTGAACCAGGAATGGAAGAACCCTCTGATGACCACAAGATATACAATAATTTTATCATCTTTGCAGGTCCCTGTATTTTATTCATGTATATTTCCTATCTTGGAGGTGATGTGTAAGAGTATGTAAGCCCTGTGTAACATTATCTTGAGAAGGTCTCCTAGGTAAGATGTCATCTACATAGTGCCAAAAGTGGGAATGCTGTAAATTGATGAATTATAAGTCCTTCCTCCAGAGTCATGTGCTATGGCCAGGCTATTGAGGTAGTCTATAGATAATCAAGTGAATGTATATTGTGTGTCCTCAAAGGAGAAGGCATAACGTGGCTGTGAATCTTTGGCAATGGATGTTGAGTAGAAAATATTGACTAGATGTGTTACCACAAGTAAATCACTAGGTGAACCCTGATACTAATAACTTCAATAATGTTAGGAAAAGGTGCCTCCATGGACAGAACAAATGCATTGAGGTGGCAGTAATCTATACTTAGGCCATTCTTGTTTGTCTGCCTTTTGCTTTGATCAGATACTGCAATTAAAAAGAGAGATGATAGGAACCACAATTCTATCTTTTAAAAGATTAAAATAATAGGCCTGAGTCAAGCTGCACATTGTCATAGCTTGTGTTGAGTCTTCTTGACAATTTTAAGGGGAGGCAGAGGGACTATGATCTCTCCTTGAGCATGTCTTATAGCAAGTGGTGCGGATTTTGGCATGTTCCAATTTAAGAGGTGGCCCTAACGTGTTTGGTGTTCATGCTTATGACTAGATGGGCCAGAGACAGAGGGAATATCACAAGGAATTTAGCTAAGAGATCCCATTTTAGCATCAAGTGGAACCCATATGCCCTTAATGGGGTGACCCAATATGCCCTGAATTTTAAATAGGTTGCAAATATATATGTATATATATACATATATATTTGAAAAGAGATGGGATACCCAGAGTAACTGTTATCTGTATCCCTGTACCTAAAAGGACCAGAAAATGTTGGCTATTCTTTGAGCTTCAATGAAAACTTTGGTAGTATGTCGGTGATTTTCCCCAGGCAGTGAGACAAGCTTTGGGGAGCTGCTGTCTCCTTCAGGAGGGAGTTAGGTGGCTGCCATTGTTGAAGGTCAGGACATGATATTAGGAACCCATTAACTAGGAACTGGAAGTGCCTTTCTTCGTCTCAGTGGGGCATCTCCTATCCACTATTTTGGACCAAATTGAAGTAAAGAGAGGGGAACTTCCCCTGCTGCATGAGTTTCAAAGGTATCTAGCAGGTTTTTTGGTTGTTGGAGTTTATAATAAGCAGGCTGGCCCATTTTAATTTTTTTTTTCATGAGAGATGCCCATGTCTCTAATACATATGTTTGTCTGGGGATGATGTTTTAGAGTCCTATAGTGTCTCAAAAGGTGGTAACTGCATATTAGGAAAAGGTCCCAACTCAGTCTCTGCCTTGTTTTCCTATTCGCTCCTCTTTCCAGTGGTTTTTATTCTTTGGTTGTTTACTACTTGTGGCAGTGTTTTGGTGTTGTGGTCCTGCCTATAGGTGGCATCTCCTGTTCTACGGTGTCCCAGTCAGTCTCCCCAGGTTTGGAGTCTAGTTCCATGAGGGCAACTGTGGCACTGCCTGGTTTGTTCTTATGCTTGTTTCTAAAATCAAAGCTCTTGGTCTTGTGATACACTATTTCACACTATTGTCCCTTCTGGACAACCTTCACATAGTACAATAGCCAGTTACCATAGTCACTTCTGGACACATTGTAAATACATAAGAAGTCAACTGGAGACTTCTTTACCCAGACTACAGCACTCTAAGGACAGTTGCTCAGGGACGACTCAGCTTTTTGAACTCTACCATAATTTAGACTGGAGAATCAGAGCAGTACCTGACAGTCACAACACAATGGCAGCTGCTAAAATACAAGCCAGCAGTGCCATTCCAGGCAGTATTTACTCTCTGTTGGATTCAGTTAGTAAGCCAAGAGCAGTCTAGAGGCATGTCATCCTCACCAATCACCAAACTACCCTGCTCAATGCACCAATTGTTTAAAAATGTACTCGAGATATGTTTTATTATAATTAGGTATGGCAAGATGATAGACAAGAAGATAACTGCCTTTGAAAGAAGTGTTTATTACTCACAGTTCCCCAGAGGACAAGAGGCGTGGTGTGTCACATAGGGCCACAGAGGGTCACTCACAAGGAGAAGCAGAGAGAGAAAAAGGATGTTGTTGCTGGCCATACACTTTCTGTGACATCCTCCCCTACCCTCCCATGCACCTTCTGCTAAGCTTCCCTTTAGTCTGGATGCTCTCTAAATGAATGCAACTTTTGCAAATTATTCACCTAAACTGGCTATACTCTCAATCTATGCACTCTATGCCATTTCCTCTTCAAGCTGTCTGTATTACCCATTACTCCCCCATTTCCCAAGTCTTACCTAATACTGGGTGTTAACTCCACCCCTGAACTTCCTGCCAGATCCCACCCTAGGCCCACTGCAAACTTCATTTATCCACTTTCTACTATGTTCTTTTCTAGACTTGATGTACACTTCATCCATTATCTCTTGCCAAGTCCACCCCTAGACTTGATGAATCCTCCAGCCATAAGCAGTCTGGGTGGCCTCTCATAGCCTTTCTGCACTTTCCATCTATACACCTCTTGCCATGTAATGCCACAGGCTGACTTCCTCCTCTTCCATCTGTACACATCTTGCCATGCAATGCCACAGGCTGACTTCTCCCTCTAGCCATTCACTTTCTCTCAGATCATCCAGCAGGCTTGTATCATTAATCTTTGCCCCTTCAGCTAATTCCTTTCCTGTTTTGGCTGCATCCCTCCACTCATCCCTCCACTACTTCTCATGTCATTCCCCAGGCTTTCCACTTGCTTCAACCGTGCACCTGCTGTAGGTTCCTCCCTTCACTGGATGATCCTTCTACTATGTGTTCTCTTAGGATAGATTTATAATTTTTCATCCAATATTTACCTGCTGAAAGTTCTTCCTTTCCTGTGAATGCTTCCTCCATTCCTGCAGCTACTGCTGGGCTTTCCCTAAAGCCAGCTGTACTCACCACTACTGAACCTGATATTGGGTCCCCCTATAGGCTGGTTGCATCCTCCATCCATGCACCTCCTGTGTGTTTTTCTTCTAGGCTGTATACTCCCATCACCACATACCTCCTGCTTACTCTTCTCATGGGCTGGATGCCATCTTGACCCATTCACGACTTGCTGAATCCCTCCCCTATGCTAGCTGCATTATCCATCCATGTACACCCTTTTGAGTCCTCTTTTAGGTTGATTGCTACCTCTACCCAATAACCTCCTAAGAAGACTCCCTAGAATGACTCCATCCTTTCTCATAAAACGTCTTCTGGGTGCTTATCTAGGCTGAATGTTCCATATACCGATGATACTCTTGCACATTCTTCCCCACATCTTTGATACCCCCTCTCTCCATGTGCCACCAGTTATGTCTTACTTAAACTGGCTACATTCTCCATCTATAAACCTTTTGCCTCCACCTATAAACCTTTTTCCTAGACTGTATGCACTTTCCACTAATGCAACTGCTTCAGAGTCCTTTTCTAGGCTGGATGCCCCTTTCAACAATAAACCTTCTTCCAGAAATTCCTCTAGATTTGCTGTGCCCTCCAATAATGCACTCTCTGCCAAGACCTTTTCCACCATAGATTCTCCCTCCACCGACATACCATCTGATAATTTCTCTCCTAGGCATGCTGCAACCTCAACCTATAGCATCAAATGCACAACTCTCATCTAAGTTTATACACTTCGTGCTGAGGTGTTGTTTGTTTTGTTTTTTGGGTTTTTTTTTATTTTTACTAAGCTGGATGTTTTCTCCACCCATGCATCTCTTCTAATGTTCTTCTTTGGGCTGGGTGCTCACTTGACCCATGGATTTCTCATCAAGGCCTCCCATAGACTGACTCCTTCCTCCAAATGTGCATCTCCTGCTGAATTTTCCCCTAAGCTATATAATATTTCTACTCATACATTTCTTGCAGTATCTTTCCCAAGGCTGGAGAATTCCTCAAACCATGCACTTCCTGCTATGTCTCTCTTAGACTAGCTCTAACCATGCATAATTACCAATACCTCCTTTAGGCTACCTGTGCCACCTACCTATGGACTTCCCAACGAGTTTACACCTAGTCTGGATGTTTCCTCTACCCACACACCTACTGTTGAGTTCTGCCCATCTCAAGTGCATAAAACTCTAGTCAACTTTAAAATTTTACATTCCCAAATTAAATTCTCTATGAAAAATGATATAAAGAATAAAACTTTCACAGCATCTTTGGCATCTATAACACTCTTTGTGGTTTTCCATGGAATTCCTGGAATGTCACAAATATTTGTTCTTTCACTTTATGGATAGCATTGTGTTAAAATAATTAGGTTTGTTTATTGTTATTATTGATGAGCTGTTAAATTAAAACCTGTCATCTCCAGATAATTTTTTCAGTTTACTCTGATGCTTCCCAAAGGCTCTGCCACCAGATAAAAACCAGAGTTCTTGTCTTTGATGACAAAAGACAATTTCACAGCTTTGAGGAAAAAGGCAGTACCCTCAGTACTAGTACTTCGAAGAACAGTCTCTTTGATACAGACTTCAGCTAACAGAAACTTCTGATGACACATAATCACCTTTAAGACCATGACAGTGAACAGAGGCAGTTCTCAAAAACACCTCAGTTGAGAAGCAGTTTCATACAATCAGTCTTTTTAATCCTAGCTTATCCAGCCTTCACCAAATAAAACAGAAATGAAGGTAATTGAGAGTAAGTTATTTAGATGCTTTGCTGGATATCCAATAGACCCTAACATCTTAGTATTGAAGACTAGTTTCTGTTTTCTAGAAGAAAACATTAATTTTTTTCTCAAGGCCCATTTCTCAGGATAGAGTAGAGGAAAGAGCAAAACAATAGGTAAGGAAGGCTGGGCTCTTGCCCCCACTATGCTATACATACTTGTCATGTGACTGAGTGAGCTAATTAACATCTCTGAACCTTGGTGTCCACATCTGTAAAAATGGATACTAGTAATGTCTATGTAGGATTAGCAAACCTGTTGTCCAGATTAGGCATGTGGGCTGGCAGTGTGTAATCTGTGCATTCGGGAAATAGTGTATTTGATATTTTCTTTTACTTGAATCCTATTTTGGGGTTCCAAAGACCTTTTGTAAAGAATCTTGCCATCTCCCTCAGAACACATGTGCAATATCTGTCACATACAAGGACCAGGAGACCTGGGCCTTCAAAATGCTTCTGTTGCAAAGGATGTTCTCTTTGGGAGGCCAGTCTGGTAACCAGGCCTTGTGTTCATGCCAAGACCAAGCCACCATTAACCTCCAAGTCCCCTGCCCCCAGCCTCAACTCTGGTGCTCATCTTTCCTCACACATGAAGTTTCCTGCAGTCTTGACACAAGTTTGACCCCGGCCTGCCCTGACACTGCTTGTGATCACTGGACAAGTTGGAAGCCACAGTCACTCCAGCCTCTGCCCTTGCCCACTCGGGAGTTAGTTTTCCCAATCCCAATAGGGCACTGGCCACCAATGCTGTCCTGTCCACAGGGCACAGGCCAGAGGGACTACTTCCTCACCTTTCCCTCCTGACTGTTAGAAATGCACAAAAGGCCTAAATATGGGTGAGCTCATGCCTTCCCAATGGCAGCGATTCTCTCTTCCTCCCTGTCTCCCCTGAGTGTAGGATACCTTGCACATGTGGAAGGGAGATCTGGCAGGGTGCCACATTAGCCTGATGCTATGCTGGCTGTGGCCCCCATGCTTCCTGTGAAACCCACAAGCACAGCTGAACACAATTCTTAAAGGGATGGTGGTCACTCCTGCTGACTCTCCCATGCCCCTTGACTCTGCAGAGAGCTTGAAACAGGGGCTCATCCAAGGTCAACCTTCAAACTCCACCTCAGACATGAAACAGAGTCTGAAGGAGCCCAGAAGCCCGGGTCCTTACAGGGTCACAGTGACCGTTAGTGTTGATGACTGCATAAACTGTAAGGTGACCACCTGAGTACACAGAGGGACTCACCCGCCACAGGCCACCCACCTACTATGGCTTCTCCTGCCTTGAGTGAAGTCCTCAGATGTGCATTCCAGTGAAGTATCCAGGACATTATGTCTAGTTCTACAATAAGCCACAGCCATAAGCAACATCAGCAGCTTTTAAACACCAGACAACTACTTAGCCAATATGTCAAGATCTGAGGAAAATGATCAGTTTGCTGCCATTACTCATCCTAGAGGCACTCTCTTCTGACTGGAGGACACTGGACTAGCAGAAACACATAACCTGAAAACAAAGATGTTTCACTTTGGCAAGGGGAGGGGGTGCTGCTGTCA
Source organism: Homo sapiens (assembly GCF_000001405.40). NCBI lineage: Eukaryota > Metazoa > Chordata > Mammalia > Primates > Hominidae > Homo > Homo sapiens. The sequence continues at coordinate 36,721,307 of NC_000023.11, read as the reverse complement.
CCATGATGTGATCAGCTGAAGGAGACTCCCTACCTGCAGATGCTGGAGAGACGCCTGCTTGCTTCTCAAATGCACAGAAGAGAAAGTGACGATCTGGGCTAAGGCTGGGAATGCTCTATAGTTCTCCATAAGGAATCACCCAGTGGTGGGGTGGGCATCTTCACAATGAGTTGCCTGGGAATATGAGGTTCAGTGGAAATCATGTGGCAAGAAAGGCTTCTGGGATTCAGACAAGCATATCTCCCAAATGGCCCTGAGGACAACCCCAGCACAATCTCTATGTAAATCCCCTGTCCCATGAAGTTCATGCCAGCCAGTGTGCCCTCTTTCCACCCACCCCTGTGGCCACCGCCCTCTGACTTCAGACCTTTGCTATCCTGAATAAAGCCTCCCGCACCTCAGTCAGAGTCTGCAGCTCCACCTCAGGCCCCAGCATCAGGCTGGGAATTCAACAAGCCTCAGAGGCCCCCAGCCAACTCCCTGGCCTCACAAGGCCTTCCTGTTCAGAGACAATGAGGAAGTCTCAGTGTCTACCCAAGCCAGTTCCTCCTCACAGGGCCAGTGCCCTCACCGTCACCATTGAGAACTGCCCCCTCTAAATCACTGATTCAAACACTCCCCACACAGGCCACCCCTTCCCCCACTTCAGCTCTCTAGGGATAGTTTCTCCTAAATGTCTCACAGACACCTCCAACCCAAAGTGACAGAAACTGAGAGGAATCAGGAGCACTGTCGTGCATTTATACAGTTTAATAGCTTGGGCAGATGGAAGCAACCTGGGGTCTTTCATCTATGGGAATTTTAGCAGCTGGAAGAGGTTGCTGATGAAGTCCTGCACAGCTCTGAAACTCAGGAATCCTCCCTTCTTCTTCTTCTTCTCCTTCTCCTCCTCCTTCTCCTTCTCCTCCTTCTTCTCCTCCTCCTCCTTTTTCTCCTCTTCCTCCTCCTCCATTCTCTCATCCTCCTCCTCCTCCTTCTCCTCCTCCTCCTTTTTCTCCTCTTCCTCCTCCTCCATTCTCTCGTCCTCCTCCTCCTCCTCCTCAGGTTGGGGCATTTCTTCTTCCTGAGAGTGGATGTCATCTTCCTCCTCCAAGATCCATCTTAGCTGCTCATTCTTTTGCAGTGCTCTCTTCAGGTGTTCTGGGGTGATGCACACCCTGTGGCTGTTCTGGGCCTCCTTGCCTGCCTGTTCCAGGATGTTGGCTGTCAGGTACTCGAGAACAGCAGCCAGGAAAACAGGTGTGGTTGAGCTCAGGTGCCGGGCATACTGACCTTCTCGCAGGCAGCGTTCCATGTGGCTAACAGGAAACTGCAGCTCCGCTCTTCTGGAACGGGAAAGGCACTGTCTTCTAGGCTTACAGGAGCTGCGACTGTGTTTGTTTCCAGCCATGATGTTTGCTGGGTTTTGCCCCGGTTGTCACAGCTTGATTTTTCTGCTGGCCTGAGTCTCTCAAGGTGCCAGTGCTTACTGCAGCCCACTATACCCCTGTGCTCCAGCCCCTCACTGGTCATCAGTTGCCTTAGTGACAACCTCCACTTTGTGATGTCATTGGTGTCCACTGGGCCGTGATCAGGCCTCAGCCTAGAAATGCCCATGAGAGGAATCTGGTCACCCTAGTAACTGGAACTTCTTTTTAAGGGAATGCTAACTATCTACTTGATTTTAACATTCTAGCAAAAAATGTGTGTTTCAATGAAAACCTTTTCCTTGTTCATAGGATACAACTCCATGTAATCTATCTGATTCTAGTCCTGCATTGTCTTTGAGCTCTTTTACATCCGTTTGTAAGTTGTAGGTCACTGAGAGACATGCACAACTTAGAGACCTCAACGGTAGGTTCAGTCTCCCCAGACCAATACACACTACACTAACCAGTTTTGCCTCCACTGACATATTCCATTCACTATTCCTGATCAGTATGCATGTTTCTGTTCTTTGGATTCTCCATTATACTGGTTATAATATCTGCCAATTTCCATATGTGATAAATATTTTAACGTGCTCACATTTGTGTGAGTGTCATGATTTTACACTCTTGATAATTATCTTTACCTGTTTTGTAGGACACACTGATATGTCCAATTGTTTTACCTACTAGAACCATGTAAACTTTGATGACAGAAGCGCACTACACACATGCAAGTTTGAAGCCCAGCATGTGTTGTATTGACTCTCCTATGTGAATCTAATTCACCAATAGTACTTTGTTGACTCTGTTTTTATAATTTGTGTTTTCCTCTATGCTAATTTAGTGTTTTGCTTTTGGTTCATTTTTGTTTTGTTTTGTTTTTGGTTTATTTTACAGCCAATAAGTTTTTCCCATTGTTGAAAACCATGGTTGGGAATTGAGTTTTTGGCTTTGTATTTACTTTACTTTTTAATTAAGTTCACATAACATAAAATTTATCAATTTAACTATTTGAAGTGTACAATTCAGTGTCCATTACTACACTACATTCACAATTTTCATCCCTATCAGATTTCAGACTGTTAAGCGGTCACTCCTATTCCCATCTCCCCACAAGCTCCTGGCAAAAATTAATCTACTTTCTATCTTTACGGATTTGCTTATTGTAGGCATTTTATGTAAATGGGACAACACAATATGTGGCCTTTTGAAATTTAGCTTCTTTCATTTAGTATAATGTTTCAAGGTTCATTCACATTATAGTGTGTATCAGTACTTTATTCATTTTTATGACTATAAAATAGACCATTATATGCATAAATCACATTTTTTAATCAATTCATTAGTTGATGGGCATTAGGGTTGTTTCTGCCTTTTGGGTATTATAAATAATGCTGCTATAAGCACTTGTGTGCAAGTTTTTGTATGAACGTGTATCTTTGATTGTCTTGTGTATATACCTAAAAGTGCATTTGCTTGGGCGTGTGGTGAGAATTGGTTTTATGATCTGACCATTTGGATATTTTCTAAATAGATTGATAGTTTGTAGAGATCTGTTCTTTTTTGAGTGAGAGAAAACAGAGTCTGTTGCGTCAATTGTTCTGTCTATTTTTCAGCTCAAACCAATGAAGAATTTCATGCTCCTTGGGAAGGAAACAACTACTGGATATCTGTACCAGGGATTTTTACTGTTTCTGTGTTTACTCTTGAATCATGGCTGAAATTTGTAAAATTGAAATTAAATGCTCTATTTCTCTATTTCTGCATGTCTACATGTCTATAATTTGGAAACACCTTCAGTTATGATTGTGTGAGGATGTAAGGTTTTCTTACCTCCACATGGTATTAATATATTAGATTATGAATTCTTTAAAATTAAAGGCTGAAACTTCCAGCTTTGCATCTCCTTCCGAATCATCCTCGAGGCTTATTGCATCTGATACTCATGCACTTCCTGCAGGGTCCTCCCTAACAATGGCTATTTTCTGCACTAAGACCCCTTCTTACTCCTCCCTCAGTCTGGATGCAACTGCTTCCCATGCATGTCTTGTCAGTTTACCCTCTAGAAGAATGCTATACCACTCCTGCTGAGTTTTCTTTGAAAGGATTCTCCCTCCACTTATTCACTTCCTGCTATATTCTCTCCTAGGCTGACTGTATGCTCCAACTATGAACTACTTGCCACATTCTCCCTTGGGCCTGTATAACCACCTACTAATGAACTTTCTATGAAGCCCTCTTCTAACCTGAATGCTTCCTCTTCTGTATCTCCTGCTAGGTCCTTTTCAAGGATTGATTCTCCTTTCTACTATGCACTTACTGAGGGGCTGACCCCTAGGCTAGGTCCACCCTACATCATGCAACACCAGCCATGCATCCCAAACCATGCTTATCCTCCCATGCTCCCTCCAACAATACATCTCCCACCAGATTTTACCTTACGATGGATGCACCCTCATCTGTTAATATATCTCACCTACTTCTTCCCAAGGAGAGAAAGTCTCTAAAACTCTGCATTTTGCTGTGTCCTCTGCTAGGCTGGTGGCACTTTTCACCAACGAACCTCTTGCTGAGTCCTCTCCTAGGTGGAATGCTCCTTCCACCCATACATTGCCCGCTGAGTCTTACCCTAGACTGGATGTTTTCTCCACTTATGGATTTATTGCAATGTCCTCACCTCTGTTCTGTGCTCCCTCCATTCACATATTTTTTGCCTAGTATTTTTCCCAGGCAGGATGAACACTCCAAAATACAGTTCCTGCTAGGCCCTTCACTAGACTGGCTACATTCCACCGATGTACTTTCTGCCAGGTCCTTCCTAAGTTGGCTGCATCCATAGAGCTCTGACTGTGTCCAACTCTAAGATAGATGCTCATTTGATCTATGCACTTCCTGGTGACTGCTTCTCAAGACTGTACATCCATAAATATCCTTTAGTGTCACTCCTAAGCTAGATGTCCCCTGCACATATGTGCCTTCTGCCCTGTACTTAAATCTGGCTGCAACCTTGACTCAGGCATTTCCTGCTAGGTCCTACCCTATAATGGCTGCTCCATTACCCATGAGCTTATAGCCATATCTGTCCCTATACTCACTGAATACTCCATCCATGCAACTCCTGCCAAGACTACCCCTAGGGTGGATGCTTCCTCCAGCCATGTACTTATTCCCATATCCTTTTATAGGGCTACATGTTTCTTCCACCTATGTACCTCTCTTTGGCTAGTTTCACTCTCCAACCATACACCACCTGAAACTTTTTCCCCCTAGATTGAGTGTATTCTCCACCCTTGCACTGTCTGCTGAATCCTATCTTATTCTTGCTGCACCCTGCATATATAAACCCACAGATTCCCCACCTTGGTTGGATGCCTCCTTTACCATGTACTTATAGCCAATTCTCCTGGCTGTCTTCTCCATGTTTGCAGATCCTTTTGATTCCACTCATAATAAGGCTGCATCCTCTACATATATAATACCTGCTCGGTCTGTGTATGGAATTGTTCCTTCCTATATGCATGCAGTTTTTACCAATTCTACCTTAGGATGAATGCTACCTCTTCCCATGAACCCTCTGCTCCCTCCTCTGACTCACATGCTGCTGGTTTAGAAACTGGAATACTTCCCACAAACCTTTAACTTCCTGCTATGTCCACCATTAGACTGCATGCTCCCTCCACTAATGCATCTCCTGCCTAGTCTTCCCTAGGCTTTCTGATCCCTCTATACTTGAACCTACCGGTGATTGTCTCACTTGTACTCATGCACTTCTTGGTGGTTCTCACTGCATATTTTATGTAGGCACTTTCTGCAGGTTTTCCCCTAAGCTTACTTCCCTTTCCTATACTGCAACTGCTGCCATTTCCTCCATTAGCCTGGATTCTCTAACTACCAATGAACTGCCCACCTGATCCTACTAGTGACTGGATATTTTCTCCACCCATGCATTTTTGCAACTACCTCCTTTTTTGCTGGATGTTCCCTCTTCCCAATGTATACCAAAATGTGTCTGAAACAGGTCTCAATCAATTTAGAGGTTTATTTTTCCAAGATTGAGGACACACCCAGGAAAAAGAGACAAAAGTCACAGTAAAATCTGTGGTCCGCACTTTTTCCAAAGAGGGTTTTGAATATTTCAATATTTAAAGGGGAAATAGGGAGTAGCAGAGAAAGAATAGTCAATTATGCATTCGTCTAGTGTTCTTTATATCTGCATTCTAGATAATGTAGAGTAGAGGAAGAAGTCAAATATGCATTTCTGTTAAGGTGGGTAGAGGGATGATTTCTGGTCTTGTCTTTGTCTCATACATGTGAAGATAAGCTGTTAATTCACATTGTTAGGGTGAAATTAAACACAACTCTATTTTAGGTGGTAAAGATTTTGGAGCCTGCAAGGAATTTCCTTGTAAGAAATTTGTGAGAGAAGTCACCTGGGGAGATACGTGGCCTTCTTTCTTTGCTGCTATATGTTTAGGAACAAAAGAAAGTTAGATTTTTGCATGACTCAGTTCCCAAGCTTAACTTTTCCCTTGATATAGTGAGTTTGAGTTCCTGAGGTATTATTTTCTTTTCACACCATGCACTTCCAACCATGCCAGCCCCTCGGTTGTTTGCACCCTCCACGTGTATATCATCTTCTAACACCTCCCCTAATATGGCTGCAGCCTGCATATACACACCCTGGCATGTTTTTAGACTGACTGAACCCTCCACTCATAAACTTCTGGTCTTCCCTCTGGCTGGATGTTTCCTCCACCCATTATCTGACCACTCTGTCCTACCATAGACTGTATGTTCCTCTTTTGCACCTCTTGCTGAGACCTCACTTAATCTGGAAGCTTCCTCTCACCTTGAACCTCCTGGTGGATTTTACCTTCCAACCACACACATCCTACCCGGCTTTATGATAGCTTGGCTATACTTTTCACCCATGCACTTCCTGACATAACCTTCCCTGTGCTGGCTGAGACCTCACCCATGCACCTTCTGGTGGTACTTCCCTAAGCTGGCTGCATTTTACACCCACGTCCTTTCATATATTGGATGACCTAGCCACCATTCACTTCTTGATGATCTTCCCTGAGGCTGGCTGCATTTTGCACACAGACAGCTATGGAAATGTCCTGCCCTAGGCTGGCTACTCTGTGCAATAATGCCCCTCCTCCTGATTCCTACCATAAGTTTGATGCCTTTGCCATCCATGGACATTTTCCCATGTCCTCCCTTAAGCTGGTTTCAACCTCTTTTAATGAATCTTCTTGCAAATCCTCCCCTAATCTGAATGCCTCCCACCTATGCACTTACTACTGGAATCTCCTTTGGTGACTCTCCCTTTCATTCATGAAAGTCATCCTAATCTTTCCCTAGGCATGAAGCTCTTGACACCTATGCATTTTCTTCCAAGTTGTCCCCTAGGCTGCCTTCATGCCTAATCTCCTGCCATATCCTCCCAAGACTTGCTGCACCCATAACTCATGCACTACCAGCCATGTCCCACATATTCTGACTGCCCCCTCAGACCATTTGCCTTCATCAGTGTTGTGGGAAGTCAGGGACCCCGAATGGAGGGACCAGCTGAAGCCATGGCAGAAGAACATGAATTGTGAAGATTTCATGGACATTTATTAATTCCCCAAATTAATACTTTTATAATTTCTTATGCCTGTCTTTACTGCAATCTCTGAACATAAATTGTGAAGATCTCATGGACACTTATCACTTCCCCAATCAATACCCTTGTGATTTCCTATGCCTGTCTTTACTTTAATCTCTTAATCCCGTCATCTTCCTAAGATGAGGAGGATGTATGTCGCCTCAAGACCCTGTGATGATTGCATTAACTGCACAAATTTTTTGTAGAGCATGTGTGTTTGAACAATATGAAATCTGCGCACCTTGAAAAAAGAACAGGATAACAGCAATGTTCAGGGAACAAGAGAGATAACCTTACACTCTGACCGCCGGTGAGCCGGGTGGAACAGAGCCATATTTCTCTTCCTTCAAAAGCAAATGGGAGAAATATCACTGAATTCTTTTTCTCAGCAAGGAACATCCCTGAGAAAGAGAATGCATCCCTGAGGGTAGGCCTCTAAAATGGCCGCTTCAGGGGCGGCTGTCTTTTATGGTCGAAGCTGTAGGGATGAAATAAGCCCCAGTCTCCCGTAGAGCTCCCAGGCTTATTAGGACGAGGAAATTCCTGCCTAATAAATTTTGGTCAGACTGGTTGTCTGCTCTCAAACCCTGTTTCCTGATAAGATGTTATCAATGACAATGCATGCACAAAACTTCATTAGCAATTATAATTTCACCCCGGTCCTGTGGTCCTGTGATCTCACCCTGCCTCCATTTACCTTGTGATATCTTATTACCTTGTGAAGCATGTGATCTCTGTGACTCACACCGTGTTCCTACACTCCCTCCCCTTTTGAAAATTGCTAATAAAAACTTGCTGGTTTTAAGGCTCAGGGGGCATCACAGAACCTGCCGACATGTGATGTCTCCCCTGGACACCCAGCTTTAAAATTTCTCTCTTTTGTACTCTGTCCCTTTATTTCTCAGACTGGCCGACACTTAAGGAAAATAGAAAAGAACCTATGTAAAATATCGGGGGCGAATTTCACCCAATATCTGGCTGAATGTCCCCCGATACATCAGAATACTCATCTAGCTTAGATCTTTTCTACACCCATTTACCTCCCTCTATGTCCTCCATTATGCTAGCTGCATGCTTCACTTCTATACTTCCCGTGGCCTTCCCTCTGCTGAATATAACCTCCACTTCCACATGTACTGCCTGGTCTTCTACCAGGTTAGTTTATCCCTCCACCCATGAACTACATTCTGGTCTACCATTTGGTTAGATGTTTCTTTCACCCATGAATCATGAACTTGTTTCTGTGATAGGCTGAATGTTCCTTCTTCCCTAGTGCCCATTGCCAAGATCTCACTTAGCCTAGATGTTCACTAGTCCCGTGCACCTCCTGCTAGTGTCTGACACAGGCTGGCTGCAACATCCAATGATGCATATCCTACTTGGTCCTCCCATAGCCTGGCTGCACCTTCAACTCATGCACCTCCTGGTTATTAACCCATGCATCTGCGACTGCTATTTCTCTAGACTGGCTGCATTTAACATCCGCTCACTGCTATCATATCCTTTCATATGTGCAATGACCTATCCACTGTTCATTTCTTCCTGATTTTCCTATAAGTGGACTGTGTCTTCCACCCTGGAACCTCCTGTTCTGTCCTATGGTGGGCTGGCTGTACCTTTCACTAATGCATCTCCTCCCAAATCCTTTTCTAGATCTGATGGCCTCTCCGACCATAAACATTCTGCCATGTCTTACTTTAAGCCAAGCTTCCAACCCGTGGCCTAAGGGCCACATGCGGCCCAGGACGGTTTTGAATGAGGCCCAACACAAATTTGTAAACTTTCTTAAAACATTATAATTTCTTTTGTGAATTTTTAAAGATCATCAGCTATTATTAGCGTTAGTGCATTTTATGTGTGCTCCCAGACAATTCTACTTCTTTCAATGTGGCCCAGAGAACCCAAAAGATTAAAGTCTAAGCTGATGGTTTTCCCCACAAATGCATCACCTCCCTAATCCTCCACCATACTGAATTCTCCCTCCACCCATACACTCCCTGCCAAATTATCCCCTTGAATGGTTGCCCTCTCTATTCATGAATGTTTTCCCTGTTCTTCCCTAGGCTTGAAACTCCTTACAACTATGTACTTTCTGCCTGGTCTTTCATTAAGCTGACTTCCCCCTCACCCAAGCACATCTTTCCAAATTTTACACAAATCTAGTTTCACCTTGAACCCATGTACCACCTTCCATGTCCTTCCCTTTTTAGATTGTATCATCTGGCCTGCATTATCTGCAGAATACTCTTATAGCCTGGATACTCCTTCTACCTGAGCAGCTCCTGCCATGTACATCCTAGGTGAGGTAAAATTATATAAATATATAAAATATATAAATATAAAATATATATAAATATATAACAAATATAAAATAAATATAAAAACATATAATTACAAATATATGTAAAATTACTTTTATAATTATAATTATATATAATGATATATATAATTTTACCTCACCTAGGATGCACCCTTCACCTATATAATTTTTATTTAATTATAAATTGGTAATTGATAATTTTATATATTTATGGGGTACAAAGTGATGTTATAATTTATAAATATAATGTGAAATAATGAAATCAAGCTTTTAAACGTATCTATCACCTGAAATACTTATTTTTTTGTGATAAGAATATTTGAAATTTACTCTTTAACAATTTTGAAATATTCAAGAGGCTATTATTAACTATATACACCATGCTGGGCAATAGATCTCAAAAAAAGGTACCCTTGTTAACTTAGACTTTACACCTGTTGACCATCATCTCCTCAATTTCCACAATTTCCAACCTCTGCAACCACCATTCTTCACTCTGCTTCTACGAATTTAATTGTTTTAGAGTCCACATTTGAGTGAGAATATGCTATATTTGTCATTCTGTTCCTGGTGTATTTTACTTAGCATGCTGTTCTCTAATTCCATCCATGTTGTTTCAAATACTAGAATTTCGTTCTAGTTTAAGGCTGAAGAGCATTTCATTGTGTATGTGTACCGTCATATGCCACATAACGGTGTTTTGGTCAATGGTGGACCACATATATGGCAGTGGTTGCGTAAAATCATAATGGAGCTGAAAAATTTCTATTGCCTAGTGATGTTGTGGTGGCCCTCATAACATTGTAGTGCAACATTACCTTTTCTATATATAGATATGTTTAGATACACAAATACTTATCATTGTATTACAATTACCTACAATATTCTGTATAGTAACATGCTGTACAGGTATGTAGCCTAGGAGAAATAGGCTACACCATATAGCCTGGGTGTGTAGCAGGCTATACCATCTAGGTCTGTGTAAGTATGCTCTATGATATGGTCGCATAACAACAAAATCACCTAACAACACATTTCTCAGAATGTACCACTATCATTCAGTGACACATGTGTGCACCATATTTTCCCTATCCATTCATCTGTTGATAGACACTTAAGTTGCTTCCATAATTTGACTGTTTTGAATAGGGCTGCAGTAAACATGGGAGTTTAGATATCTCTTTGACAAACTGATTTCAAATCATTTGGGTTAATATCAAGAAGTAGGATTGTTGGGTCATATTGTAATTCAATTTTTAGCTTTTATTTAAGAACCTCCATATGATTTTTCCATAATGACTGTACTAATTGACATTCCTACCTAGTGTTCAAGTGTTTCCTTTATTCCACATCCTCGCCAGCACTTGTTACCCTTCATCATTTTGATAATAACCATTCTGATAGATATGAGACATATATCATTGTGGTTTTAATTTTAATTTCCCTAATGTTCAGTGATTCTGAGCATTTTTAAATATATCTGTTGGTCATTTATATGTCTTCTTTTAAGAAATGTCTGTTCAGGTTCTTTCCCCATTTTTTAATTTTTTTTTTTTTTTGCTATAAAGTTGTTTGTGTTTCTTATACATTTTGAATATTAACCCCTTATCAAATGTATGGTTTCAAATATTTTCTCCCATTTTGTTGGGAGATAAATTTTTATTAATTGTATTCTGTGCTGCACAGAACTATTTTAGTTTGATGTATTATCATTTGTCTATTTTTGCTTTTGTTGTCTGCACATTTGGGGTAAAATCCAAAAAATCATTGTCCAGATCAATGTCATGTAGTGTTTCTCTTTTGTTTTCTTCTAGTTGTTTCACAGTGTCTGATCTCACATTTGAATCTTTAATCAATATTGAGTTAATTTGGGGGCATGTTGTGATATAAGGGTCCAATTTCATTCTTCTACCCATGAACTTCCTATCAGACCATACTTAGACTGGCTGCACCGTCTACTTACGCATCTCTTGCTAATTCCTTCTGTAGGTAGAGTGCTTTCCCCACTCATGTTCTTCTTGATGCCTGCTGCCATAAGCTTGATGTTCCTTCCACTCATGCACTTCCCATTGAAAGGTACATTAGACCAAATGTGCCTTCTAGATGAGAACCTCCTGCAATGTCTTACTCTAGGCTGTATTCATCCTCCAACACATCATCTTTTGTGAAGTCCTTTACAGGATGATTGAATCTTACATTGATGCCACTCCCTTATCCCTCCCCTAGGATGGCTGCATTCTGCATGCATGTACCATAGCCTTCCATGGTCTGGGTCCTATCACCACCCATGCAACACCTGCCATTTCTTCCTCTAAGCTTACTGCACCTTCTGTCTATGCACATGCTGCCAAAACATCCCCTAAGATGGATACTATCTACACCCATGCACTTCCTGCAGGATTCTCCTGTAAGATAACTGTGACCTCCATTCATGCACATCTTCCTAGTTCTCCTCTAGACTGGAAGTTCCATGACCCATGCACTTCCTGACCAGTCATCCCCAAAGCTAGTTTCACGTTGAACCAAGCACCTCCTTCAAGGTCCTTCCTGACAAGGAGGATCAAACTTTGGGCGTGGCATATTTTAGTCTGGCTTGACTAAAACAAGTAGGCCTCAAACTTTACCTGAACTTACCACACTGTAATTTGTTTGCTCCATCTCAGACAGACCCACCTCTCATGTTCTTCAAAACAAGCAGTATTCCTTGCCTAGACTTTTATGTTATTGCAAGGTTTGACAGAGTTTACTAAGTTTCAATAACTTCTCCAGAGATTTTACCACTGCCTTCCCCTTTTTACAGCTACCTATACCATGGTATCTGCATATAACAGCTTTTTTTTGTTCACCCCTTTCTGAGATGTTTCTGCCTTAGACTTTCAGAATGTTTTCATTGTAATATCCTCCCTTAAAAAAGTCTTTCAAAACTAATATCTGGGATAGCTTTTTAAAAATCTCTTACCATATGTTGACATTACTCAGAGTGTTGACTGACCCTTGGACCTTACCGTTTTTACTCAGGTATTGATACCATCTTCAAGGACCCTTTGTGTCTTTTTCTGGCTAGGTAAATCAGGATTCATGGTGGTGAATGGTAACTGCTTATCCCATGCTCAGATATTTGTGTTTTAGCTGAGGAAGCAGTTGACTTTATTTTTCTCTTATTTAAGTACTCTTCTGTTTTTCTGTATTCCACTTCCGTGTTTCTGAGTGGGGTTTATGACCCTGACTCTATCTTGAAAAAATCATGCGTTTGTTTAATATCCCATTGCTTTTCTTAGGGGGATTAATGTCCCTGAGTCTCTCCTTGGAAATTATACCTTGGGTTTAAATGCCTTTAGGCCTGACAGATGATCATTTCATTATCCTGAGAAACCTTTAAACTAACTGATATCCCTTAGACTCTTCCCACACAGGGCTCATACACTGTCACTACAGTTCTAATTCCACCTAATTTCTTCCAAAATACTACAGTTTTTCTAAAGACAACATTGACTTTGAACCACCACTTTGGGGATCTTGGGGTATTGCTAAACTTGTTCACTTGCTAGGGGATACTGAGTCCTGCATATACAATATCTCCTCCAAGCAATGGTCTGCTTATCTTGTCTAGTATGAAGAGGCAGAAAAACTTATCTCCCACAAAATCTTTCAGAAGCCATTACTTTTATCAAAAGTCATCTCCCTTACCCAAAGCCTTCTAAGACTATCCCTTTCTATCACACCCTCCACATTTACTCTCCCCTTTTATTAACTACATTTGACCTAACCTTTAGTTCTCTTTAATCCTTTCTTTTATCCTCCTTAAATATTCCTACCTCCACCATCTTTGCTCCCTCATCCCATTGAGGGCTCTCAGGGAACTCAAGGACTCCAAGAACAACCAATTGAGACTATATTATTTTTAAATCATGGTATTCTTTTGAATGTATTGACATTGTTAAATATTCTCTGGATCCCTGGAAAAATTGAGAGTAATTTTCCAATTAGTTAAGACTATTCCTTGGGGCTTTGTCACCAGGGCTTTTAAAATCTACTGGTCAATCTCCTTGTGGGTACGGGAGATGCTGGCCTTTGGTTTGAAAGGGCTAGATGAGTCATCATAAATGATGACATTCAGATAAATTTAAAAATAGCATAACTTCTTTACAAAAAGCCAAGAAATTTGATGGCAATGTTTTTGATTCTATCCACTTGACTTTCACTTCCAAATTTGGTCACAAATATAAACAACAAGACAAATTTATCTCCAACTTTAAACATAAATTTAAAAAATAATCTAGAAGGATTTTTCTGGCCTCATCATTTACCATATAGTTCCAGCTTTGTTAATAGTCTTAAATCTCTAACAGAAATCAGACAAAAGCATTACATAAACCGGCACAGATACCCTCTTTGAGATTCACGCTCTGACTCAATATCATAAGGTTGCCATACTTGAAAAATCGAAATCAACTCAACGTAATCTCAGGGTTTATCAATTTAAACAACCAGAAGGAAAGGGCTCTAATACATCTATCCCAGTTTCTTTCTGAAGCTCACTGTCAATAAAGACATTTTAAATATTTTTTGAAAATGATCGGTAGATTAGAGATTCTTCAGCCTTAAAGTGAAAGGGGAAATAAGAGATTAGATTTTTTTCCCCAAAGATATCTCTCTGAAGGAAAAAGCCCTGTATGTCCACAGATACCCTTATACAGAGGGTGAAATTATACTTTATTGTAATGGGCACACAACCACCTTCTTAGTGCACACACAGACTCCTTACTTCATCATAAATATCTCACGCTTTCCTATTACCCTTCCTTGAGTGCACCCTTCCTTGAGTAAGGTTTATGTGGCAGCATTACACAACTTGTTAAACAAGTTGCCACTCTTCCAACCACTAGACAAGTCACTCAGGTGTCTGTACTTACAACATTGCTTTCTCCTTTGCTCAAATACACCAGTAATCCTCTTGCAGAGAGACTTTATGAAACATTCACATAAACTCTTTCACTGAAAATCTCACTTTAGAAATCCTCTATTTTTTCGTAATACACCTTTGCCCTTTCTCAACTTTTACAGACTATCCTGCTTTCTTTTTACCCCTTAAGGCTTCTAACATCCTCTAATAATTCAAAATAACTAAAATGCTTTCTTATAGCCCTGAAGCCCTTAGGAGCTCTAGACCCACTTATAATAGACAAATATTGGAAGCAGAATCCTCAAACATTAAAACTGTCACTTCCCACTCCCAAGACTGCTACAATACTTCTTAAATTCAGGGGCCACATTTGGATTTCAGTCCATCAACTAGGAACTCACAGTCAGTGGACTACTCATACCAACTTCTACATTCCAAAACACTCCTATGCTCCCTGTAAAAAACAGAAAAGGATATAAGTTATTCCAAGATTTATAGAAATTCTACAGGTTTATTAAACCTCAATTCCCTTTGATTCCCAGCCCTATCACTATCTTAGCAAACAAACCCCTGGACAAAACTCATTGTTTGGTAATAGACCTACGCTCTCCATTTGTCATTATCTGCCTCCATTCTGACTCTCAGTATATGTTTACTTTTACTGAGAAAAATCAATAGTACACTTGGAGGGGCGGTTCCAAGATGGCCAAATAGGAACAGCTCCAGTCTACAGCTCTCAGCGTGAGCGACGCAGAAGACGGGTGATTTCTGCATTTCCAACTGAGGTACCAGGTTCATCTCACTGGGGCTTGTTGGACAGTGGGTGCAGGACAGTGGGTGCAGTGCACCGAGCGTGAGCCAAAGCAGGGCAAGGCATCACCTCCCCTGGGAAGCACAAGGGGTCAGGGAATCCCCTTTCATAGCCAAGCAAAGCTGTGACAGATGGCACCTGGAAAATCGGGTCACTCCCACCCTAATACTGTGCTTTTCCAATGGTCTTGGCAAACGGCACACCAAGAGATTATATCCCGTGCCTGGCTCAGAGGGTCCCATGCCCACGGAGCCTAGCTCATTGCTAGCACAGCAGTCTGAGATTGAACTGCAAGGTGGCAGCGAGGCTGGGGGAGGGGCACCCACCATTGCCCAGGCTTGAGTAGGTAAACAAAGCGGCCGGGAAGCTCAAACTGGGTGGAGCCCACCGCAGCTCAAGGAGGCCTGCCTGGCTCTGTAGACTCCACCACTGGGGGCAGGGCATAGCCAAACAAAAGGCAGCGGAAACCTCTGCAGACTTAAATGTCCTTGTCTGACAGCTTTGAAGAGAGTAGTGGTTCTCCCAGCACAGTGTTTGAGATCTGAGAACGGACAGACTGCCTCCTCAAGTGGGTCCCTGACCCTCAAGTAGCCTAACTGGGAGGCACCCCCCAGTAGGGGCAGACTGACACCTCACAAAGCCGGGTACCCCTCTGAGACGAAACCTCCAGAGGAACGATCAGACAGCAACATTTGCTGTTCAGCAATATTTGCTGTTCTGCAGTCTTCGCTGCTGATACCCAGGCAAACAGGGTCTGGAGTGCACCTCCAGCAAACTCCAACAGACCTGCAGCTGAGGGTCCTGACTGTTAGAAGGAAAACTAACAAACAGAAAGGACATCCACACCAAAACCCCATCTGTACGTCACCATCATCAAAGACCAAAGGTAGATAAAACCACAAAGATGGGGAAAAAACAGAGCAGAAAAACTGAAAATTCTAAAAATCAGAGTGTCTCTCCTCCTTCAAAGGAACACAGCTCCTCACCAGCAACAGAACAAAGCTGGACGGAGAATGACTTTGATGGGTTGAGAGAAGAAGGCTTCAGATGATCAAAATTCTCCGAACTAAAGGAGGAAGTTTGAATACATGGCAAAGAAGTTAAAAATGCTGAAAAAAGATTAGACGAATGGCTAACTAGAATAACCAATGCAGAGAAATCCTTAAAGCATCTGATGGAGCTGAAAACCATGGCAAGAGAACTACGTGACAAATGCACAAGCTTCAGTAGCCGATTCGATTAACTGGAAGAAAGGGTATCAGTGATTGAAGATTAAATGCATGAAGTGAAGCAAGAAGAGAAGTTTAGAGAAAAAAAGAATGAAAAGAAACAAACAAAACCTCCAAGAAATATGGGACTATGTGGAAAGTCTGATTGGTGTACCTGAAAGTGACGGGGAGAATGGAACCAAGTTGGAAAATATGCTGCAGGATATTATCCAGGAGAACTTCCCCAACCTAGCAAGGCAGGCCAACATTCACATTCAGGAAATACAGAGAACACCACAAAGATACTCCTCGAGAAGAGCAACTCCAAGACACATAAGTATCAGATTCACCAAAGTTGAAATGAAGGAAAAAATGTTAAGGGCAGACAAAGAGAAAGGTCAGGTTACCCACAAAGGGAAGCCTATCAGACTAACAGCGGATCTCTCAGCAGAAACTCTACAAGCCAGAAGAGAGTGGGGGCCAATATTCAACATTCTTAAAGAAAAGAATTTTCAACCCAGAATTTCATATCCAGCCAAACTAAGCTTTATAAGTGAAGGAGAAATAAAATACTTTACAGACAAGCAAATGCTGAGAGATTTTGTCACACCAGGCCTGCCCTAAAAGAGCTCCTGAAGGAAGCACTCAACATGGAAAGGAACAACTGGTACCAGCCACTGCAAAAACATGCCAAATTGTAAAGATCGTCAAGGCTAGGAAGAAACTGCATCAACTAACGAGCAAAATAACCAGCTAACATGATGACAGGATCAAATTCACACGTAGCAATATTAACCTTAAATGTAAATGGGCTAAATGCTCCAATTTAAAGACACAGACTGGCAAATTGGATAAAGAGTCAAGACCCATCAGTGTGCTGTATTCAGGAAACCCATCTCACATGCAGAGACACACATAGGCTCAAAATAAAAAGATGGAGGAAGATCTACCAAGCAAATGGAAAACAAAAAAAGGCAGGGGTTGCAATCCTAGTCTCTGATAAAACAGACTTTAAACCAACAAAGATCAAAAGAGACAAAGAAGGCCATTACATAATGGTAAAGGGATCAATTCAACAAGAAGAGCTAACTATCCTAAATATATATGCACCCAACACAGGAGCACTCAGATTCATAAAGCAAGTCCTTAGAGACCTACAAAGAGACTTAGACTCCCACACAATAATAATGGGAGACTTTAACACCACACTGTCAACATTAGACAGATCAACGAGACAGAAAGTTAACAAGGATATCCAGGAATTGAACTCAGCTCTGCAGCAAGTGGACCTAATAGACATCTACAGAACTCTCCACCCCAAATCAACAGAATATACATTCTTCTCAGCACCACACTGCACCTATTCCACAATTGACCACATAGTTGGAAGTAAGGCACTCCTCAGCAAATGTAAAAGAACAGAAATTATAACAAACTGTCTCTCAGACCACAGTGCAATCAAACTAGAACTCAGGATTAAGAAACTTGCTCAAAACTGCTCAACTACATGGAAACTGAACAACCTGCTCCTGAATGACTACTGGGTACATAACGAAATGAAGGCAGAAATAAAAATGTTCTTTGAAACCAAAGAGAACAAAGACACAACATACCAGAATCTCTGGGACACATTTAAAGCAGTGTGTAGAGGGAAATTTATAGCACTAAACGCCCACAAGAGAAAGCAGGAAAGATCTAAAATTGACACCCTAACATCACAATTAAAAGAACTAGAGAAGCAAGAGCAAACACATTCAAAAACTAGCAGAAGGCAAGAAATAACTAAGATCAGAGCAGAACTGAAGGAGATAGAGACACAAAAAACCCTTCAAAAAAATCAATGAATCCAGGAGCTGGTTTTTTGAAAGGATCAACAAAATTGATAGACTGCTAGCAAGACCACTAAAGAAGAAAAGAGACAAGAATCAAATAGACACAATAAAACATGATAAAGGGGATATCACCATCGATCCCACAGAAATACAAACTACCATCAGAGAATACTATAAACACCTCTACGCAAATAAACTAGAAAATCTAGAAGAAATGGATAAATTCCTCGACACATACACCCTCCCAAGACTAAACCAGGAAGAATTTGAATCCCTGAATAGACCAATAACAGGCTCTGAACTTGAGGCAATAATTAATAGCTTACCAATCAAAAAAAGTCCAGGACCAGATGGATTCACAGGCAAATTCTACCAGAGGTACAAGGAGGAGCTGGTACCATTCCTTCTGAAACTATTCCAAACAATAGAAAAAGAGGGAATACTTCCTAACTCATTTTATGAGGCCAGTATCATACTGATATCAAAGCCTGGCAGAGACACAACAAAAAAAGAGAATTTTAGACCAATATCCCTGATGAACATCGATGCAAAAATCCTCAATAAAATACTGGCAAACCGAATCCAGCAGCACATCAAAAAGCTTATCCACCATGATCAAGTGGGCTTCATCCCTGGGATGCAGGGCTGGTTCAACATATGCAAATCAAAAAACGTAATCCAGCATATAAACAGAACCAAAGACAAAAACCACATGATTATCTCAATAGATGCAGAAAAGGCCTTTGACAAAATTCAACAGCCCTTCATGCTAAAAACTCTCAATAAATTAGGTATTGATGGGATGTATCTCAAAAACATAAGAGCTTTTTATGACAAACCCACAGCCAATATCATACTGAATGGACAAAAACTGGAAGCATTCGCTTTGAAAACTGGCACAAGACAAGGATGCCCTCTCTCACCACTCCTATTCAACATAGTGTTGGAAGTTCTGGCCAGGGCAATCAGGCAGGAGAAAGAAATAAAGTGTATTCAATCAGGAAAAGAGGAAGTCAAATTGTCCCAGTTTTCAGATGACATGATTGTATATCCAGAAAACCCCATCATCTCAGCCCAAAATCTCCTTAAGCTGATAAGCAACTTCAGCAAAGTCTCAGGATACAAAATCAATGTGCAAAAATCAGAAGCATTCTTATACACCAATAACAGACAAACAGAGAGCCAAATCATGAGTGAACTCCCATTCATAATTGTTTCAAAGAGAATAAAATACCTAGGAATCCAACTTACAAGGGATGTGAAGGACCTCTTCAAGGAGAACTGCAGACCACTGCTCAACGAAATAAAAGAGGACAAAAACAAATGGAAGAACATTCCATGCTCATGGATAGGAAGAATCAATATTGTGAAAATAGCCATACTGCCCAAGGTAATTTATAGATTCAATGCCATCCCCATCAAGCTACCAATGACTTTCTTCACAGAATTGGAAAAAACTACTTTAAAGTTCATAGGGAACCAAAAAAGAGCCCACATCGCCAAGTCAATCCTAAGCCAAAAGAACAAAGCTGGAGGCATCATGCTACCTGACTTCAAACTATACTACAAGGCTACAGTAACCAAAACAGCATGGTACTGGTACCAAAACAGAGATATAGACCAATGGAACAGAACAGAGCCCTCAGAAATAATGCCACATATCTACAACTATCTGATCTTTGACAAACCTGACAAAAACAAGAAATGAGAAAGGATTCCCTATTTAATAAATGTTGCTGGCAAAACTGGTTAGCCATATGTAGAAAGCTGAAACTGGATCCCTTCCTTGCACCTTATACAAAAATTAATTCAAGATGGATTAAAGACTTAAATGTTAGACTCAAAACCATAAAAACCCTAGAAGAAAACGTAGGCAATACCATTCAGGACATAGGCATGGGCAAGGACTTCATGTCTAAAACACCAAAAGCAATGGCAACAAAAGCCAAAATTGACAAACGGGATCTAACTAAACTAAAGAGCTTCTGCACAGCAAAAGAAACTACCATCAGAGTGAACAGGCAACCTACAGAATGGGAGAAGATTTTTGCAACCTACTCATCTGACAAAGGGCTAATATCCAGAATCTACAAAGAACTCAAACAAATTTACAAGAAAAAAACGAACAACCCCATCAAAAAGTGGGCAAAGGATATGAACAGACACTTCTCAAAAGAAGACATTTATGCAGCCAAAAGACACATGAAAAAATGCTCATCATCACTGGCCATCAGAGAAATGCAAATCAAAACCACAATGAGATACCATCTCACACCAGGTAGAATGGCGATCATTCAAAAGTCTAGAAACAACAGACGCTGGAGAGGATATGGAGAAATAGGAACACTTTTACACTGTTGGTGGGACTGTAAACTAGTTCAACCATTGTGGAAGTCAGTGTGGTGATTCATCAGGGATCTAGAACTAGAAATGCCATTTGACCCAGCCATCCCATTACTGGGTATATACCCAGAGGATTATAAATCATGCTGCTATAAAGACACATGCACACATATGTTTATTTCGGCACTATTCACAATAGCAAAGACTTGGAACCAACCCAAATGTCCAATAATGATAGACTGGATTAAGAAAATGTGGCATATACACACCATGGAATACTTTGCAGCCATAAAAAATGATGAGTTCATGTCCTTTGTAGGGACATGGATGAAGCTGGAAACCATCATTCTCAGCAAACTATCGCAAGGACAAAAAACCAAACACCGCATGTTCTCACTTATAGGTGGGAATTGAACAATGAGAACACATGGACACAGGAAGGGGAACATCACACACTGGGGCCTGTTGTGGGGTTGGGGGAGGGGGGAGGGATAGCATTAGGAGATATACCTAATGTTAAACAACGAGTTAATGGGTGCAGCACACCAGCATGGCACATGTATACATATGTAACAAACCTGCACTTTGTAGACATGTACCCTAAAACTTAAAGTATAATTCGAAAAAAAAGAGAAAAAAATAGTAGACAAGATTGAAAACCTAACTCAGAAGTATGTACCTGTAACAATCACTAAGTCTTGGCCAAACCCAGTGGCCATACTTTAACCATTCATACATTGCTGAGTGTTCAAACTGTGTTCAAATAAAGCAAATGCTAAGCTGTAACCAATCCAGCCATTCTGTACCTCACCTCCAATTTCTGTATGTCATTTCCCTTTTTTTGTCTATAAATCTTCTTTCGCCATGTGCCTGCACTGGAATCTCTGAATCTGCTGTGATTCTGGGGGCTGCCTGATTTGTGTGTTGTTCATTGCTCAATTAAAGTCCTATAAATTTAATTCGGCTGAAGATTTTCTTTTATCACTGTTCACATCCTCTGCCTAGTTACACAATGCATTTATAAGTCGAGGCTCGTCTCCTTGCCCTATTCACATTATATACCTAGATATCCCATTTTACTAATGGTGTAGGACTACCTTTTTGGTCTTTTCTTTTCTCCACTAATTATATTGTACAGGCATTTAGGTACTCTTTTTTAATTTTTAATTTTTGTGAGTATATACTAGGTGTATATAGTTATGGAGTATATAAAATCTTTTGATACAGGCATACAATGTTAATGATCACAGCAGGGTAAATGGAGCATCCAACACTTCAAGCATTTATCCTTTGTGTTACAAATAATCCAATTACACTCTTTATTTTAAAATGTACAATTAAATTGTTATTGACTATATTCACTCTGTTGTGCTATCATGAGTGCTCTTCTTTTCCCCATTCACATCTCCTGTCCCTTAGCACTACAGTGATGGTGTCTGGCTTTTTCTACACTCCATGATCATGTCATCTATTTAGTTACACTACAACATAAATGTTCAAGGTGCTTCTTTTCCCCATTCACATGCCCTGTCCAGTTACATAACTTCTATGATGATGCAGGACTCCTGCCACATTCACATTTGCTGTCAAGTTATAGCACTGTACCAATTAGGCTGCTTATTTTTTTTCTCTTTGGTCAGCTAACATTCACTGTGTAATTACACCACTGCATTGGTGAGGCAGGACTCCTCCTCTTTCCCCATTCACATATTCTGTCGAGTTATACCACTGCACATTTGGTGTGAGGTTCTTGTTCTTCGTTCTGTTCTATTGTTATTGTAACACATACTACCTTTTATTATAATTTTATATTTACCTCTCTCAATTTCTTGGTCTCTCTCTCTTTCTCTCTCACACACACACACACACAACCAACACACACACACACACACACACACACAGTATAGTAATTCTGTAACAATAATATAATAGAAAGAAACATCAAAATTTTTTCCCTGGAAGAGACATACATTAGTAATATTGTCCATCATTTGTCTAGCAGTGTTACTGAATGCAAAGATAGAAATGTTTTAGAATCTTACATCAGGGGCAGCAGCAGATTTTAATTTTCTTGATAGAAATCATAGGTTTATTAAATAAAAATAATTTTTATTTAAATAAGAATATTCACAATATTTTAATTATTTAAATAATGAGCCTCTACTTCACAAATCTGATGAAAGACACAAATCTTCTCTTCCAAGCAGCTCAATTAATACACAAAAGATAAAATTAAAGAGGTCCCCACTGAGGCACATTATAATGAAACTGTAAAAAGCCAAAGAAAAAAAAGACATTCTTGGAAGCAACAAGAGAGAAATGACTCATCACTTATAAGGGATCCTCAATAAGATTAGCAGCAGCTTCTTTCTCATCAGAAACAATAGAAACTATAAAGCAGTGGAAAAATATTTGAAGTGCTGAAAGAAAAAACAGTTTTAACCAGGAACACTGCATTTTAAGGCTATGCTTCAAAAATGATGGAGAAATTAAAACATGCCCAGATAAACAAAAGCTGAGGAAGATTCTTGCTAGTAGATTTTTCCTACAAGAAATACCAAAAGGATTTTTTTTTTCAGGCTAAAACGAAAAGTTCACTATACAGTAACTCAAAGCCATATAAAGAAATAAAGAATACCTATAGGGTACTGTGCTTATTACCTGTGTAATAATCTGTACACCAAACCCCCAAGACATGCAATTTACCTATGTAACAAACCTGCACATATACCCCTGAAACTAAAATAAAAGTTACAAAAATAATACCAGTAAATGTAACTGCATAGGTAATTTAAAAAGCCAGTATTATTGTGCTTTCAGTTTGTAATTCCTAATTTATGCTTATATGACTTAAAATACAAAGGCATAAAACAATATAATTCATCAGGGATATTGGCCTGAAGTTTTCTTTTTTTGTTGTGTCTCTTCCGGTTTTGGTATCACGATGATGCAGGCTTTATAAAATGAGTTAAGGAGGAGTCCTTCTTTTTCAATTGTTTGGAATAGTTTCGGAAGGGATGGTACCAGCTCCTCTTTGTATTTCTGGTAGACTTCAGCTGTGAGTCCGTCCGGTCCTGGGCTTCAGCAAAGTCTCCAATGTGCAAAAATCACAAGCATTCCTTTATGCCAGCAATAGGCAAGCAGAGAGCCAAATTATGAACGAACTCCCCATTCACAGTTGTTACAAAGAGAATAAAATACCTAGCAATACAGCTAACAAGGGATGTGAAAGACCTCTTCAAGAAGAACTACAAACTACTGCTCAAGGAAATAAGAGAGGACACAAACAAATGGAAAAACATTCCATCCTCATGGATAAGAACAATCAGTATCATGAAAATGGCCATACTGCCCAAAGTAATTTATAGATTTCATGCTATTCCCATCAAACTACCATTGACCTTCTTCACAGAATTAGAAAAAAACTATTTTAAATTTTATGTGGAATCAAAGAAGACCCCATATAGCTAAGAAAATCCTAAACAAAAAGACCAAGCTGGAGGCATCATGCTACCTGACTTCAAACTATACTACAAGGTTACAGTAAACAAAACAGCATGGTACTGGTACCAAAACAGACATATAGACAAATGGAGCAGAACAGAGACCTCAGAAATAACATCACACATCTACCACCATCTGATTTTTGAAAAACCTGACAAAAACAAGCAATGGGGAAAGGATCTCCTATTCAGTACATGGTGCTGGGAAAATTGGTTAGCCATATGCAGAAAACTCAAACTGGACCCCTTGTTTAGACCTTATACAAAAATTACCTCAAGATGAATTAAAGACTTAAATGTAAAACCCAAAACCATAAAAACTCTAGAAGAAAACCTAGGCAATACCATTCAGGACATAGGCACAGGGAAAGACTTCATGACAAAAACACCAAAAGTAATGGCAACAAAAGCCAAAATTGACAAATGGGATCTAACTAAACTAAAGAGCTTCTGCACAGCAAAAGAAACTATCATCAGAGTGAACAGGCAACCTACAGAATGAGAGAAAATTTTGCAATCTGCCCATCTGATGAAGGTCTAATATCCGGAATTTACAAGCAACTTAAATGTATTTACAAGAAAAAATTGAATGACCTCATCAAAATGTGGGCAAAGGATATGAACAGACACTTCTCAAAAGAAGACATTTACGATGTCAACAAACATATGAAAAAAAGCTCAACATCACTGATCATCAGAAAAATGCAAATCAAAACCACAATGAGATATCATCTCATGCCAGTCAGAATGGAGATTATTAAAAAATAGTAAACAATAGATGCTGGCAAGGCTAGGAAGAAACAGAAAAGCTTTTACACTGTTGGTGGGAATGTAAATTAGTTCAACCATTGTGGAAGACAGTGTGGCAATTCCTCAAGGATCTAGGACCAGAAATACCATTTGACCTAGTAATCCCATTACTGGGTATATACCCAAAGGAATATAAATCATTCTACTATAAAGACAAATGCATATGTATGTTTACTAAAGCACTATTTACTATAGCAAAGACATGGAACCAACTTAAATGCCCATCAATGATAGACTGGATAAAGAAACTATGGTACATATTCACCATGGAATACTATGCAGCCATAAAAAGGAATGAGATCATGTCCTTTGCAGGGACATGGATGAAGCTGGAAGCCGTCATCCTCAGCAACTAACACAGGGACCGAAAGCCAAACACCGCATGTTCTCACTCATAAGTGGGAGTTGAACATTGAGAATACATGGACACAGGGAGGGCAACAACACACACCAGGGCCTTTTAGGGGGTGGGGGATGAGGGGAGGGAATTAGAGGACGGGTCAATAGGTTCAGCAATCCACCATGGCACACGTATACCTATGTATCACACCCGCATGTTCTTCACACGTATCCCGTTTTTTTTCCTTTAGAAGAAATAAAGAAAACAAAAAACAAAGTCAACATGCAAAAATCAGCTGTATTTCTATATATCATCACTGAAAAATGCCGAAGTAAAAGTTTTAAAAGTTTCATTGACAGTAGCATCAAAAATAATGAAATATATAGAAATGAATTGAACTGAATATGTGCAAGACTTGTACACTGAAAACTTCAAAAACTGTTGAAAGAATTAAAGAAGACCTAAATAAATGAGAAGACATGACATGTTCATGAATTAGAACATTTAATATTATTTAGATGACAAAACTTCCCAAAGCAAGGTACATATTTAATGTAATTATTTTAAAAATACAAATGATCTTTATTGAAGAAATGGAAAACCTGATCCTAAAATTTATATTAAAGTGTGGGGGACCCAGTATACAAAAAAAAAAAATTAAAAGAAGAATAAAGTTGGTGTTCTGACACTTTTTGTTTTGAAAACTTTACTACAAAACTAAAGTAAAAAAAAAAAATCCATATGGTACCAGCATAAGAAAAGACATATAGACCAACAAAATAGAATAAAATTGAGAGTCCAGAAATAAACCCATATATTTATGATTAAATAATTTTTGACAAGGGTACCAAGTCCATTCAATGGAGAAATAATTATTTATTTAACAAATGATGCTGGGTCAACTGGATATCCACAGGTAAAAGAATAAAGTTTAATCCTTACTTCACACCACATACAATAATTAATTATAAATAGATCAAAGACCTAAATGTAAGAACTAAAAATATAAAACTCTTAGAAGAAAATATACTGGCAGATCTTTACAACCTTGGATTTGGCAATGGTTTTTTAAATATGGCACTCAAAGCATAAGCAATAACACAATAATTAAATTGAACTTCATCAAAATTAAAACTTTCATACATCAAGGATACTATCAACAGAGTAAAAGGGCAATCCACAAGATAGGATAAACTATTTGCCAGGAGGCTGAGGCAGGAGAATCTCTTGAACCCGGGAGGTGGAGGTTGCAGTGAGCCAAGATCACGCCACTGCACTCCACCTTGGGTGACAGAGCAAGACTCCATCTAAAGAAAAAAAAATTTGCAAATCGTATATCTAATAACGTTCTTATATCCATAATATATAATGAGTGCTTATAACTCAACAATAAAATAACAAAAACCTAATTTTAAAAATGGGCAAAAAGTTTAAATAGGCATTTCTTCAAACAGCATATGCAAATGACAAACAAGCACATGAAAAAATTACTCAAAGTACTTAGTCCTTAATGGAAACAAATCTAAACCAGAATAAGATATCTTTTGGCACTAAAGGGGATAGCTATGATTAAAAAAGGGAAATAATAAGTTTTGGTGAGGATATGGAGAATGTAGAACACACATGCATTTCTGGCGAAAATGTAAAATGGTGCAGCCACTGTGGAAAGTTTGATGGGTTCTCAAGAAGTTAGAGAATTACCATATGAACCATAATTTCTAATTTGGGGTATATAATCAAAATAATTAAAACAGATGTTCAAACATAAATTGTACATTTATGTTCATAGCAGCACTATTTTTAAACGTATTTTAATTTTATTTTTTATTTTTTGTGGGTACATAGTAGTTGTATAATTTTAAGTGAAACATGGGATATTTTGATACATGCATGCAATGTGAAATAAGCACATCATGGAGACTGGAGTATCTGTCCCCTCAAGCATTTATCCTTTGAGGTAGAAACAATGCAATTACAGTCATTAAATTATTTTAAGATGTACAATTAGGTTATAATTGATTATAGTCACCCAGTTGCTCTATCAAATAGTAGGTCTTATTCATTCTTTCTATTTTTTTTTTTTTACCCATTAACCATCCCCACCTCCCGCCAGGCCCCCACTACCCTTCTCAGCCTCTGGTAACCAACCTTTTGCTCTCTATGCCTACAAGTTCAATTGTTTTGACTTTTAGATCCAACAAATAAGTGAGAACATACGATGTTTGTGTTTATGTACCTGACTTATTTCACTTAACATAATGATCTCTAGTTCTATCCATGTTGTTGCAAATGATAGGATCTCATTATTTTTTAGGGCTAAGTAGTATTCCATTGTGTATATGTACCACATTTTCCTTATCCATTCATCTGTTGATGGACACTTAGGTTGCATCCAAATCTTAGCTATAGTAAACAGTGCTGCAACAAACATAGGAGTGCAGATATCTCTTCAATATCTTGATTTCCTTTCTTTCGGGTATATATACCACAGTGGGGTTGCTGGATAATATGGTAGCTCAATTTTTAGTTTTTTGAGGAAACTTCAAACTGTCTTTATAGTGGTTATACTAATTTACATTCCTACCAACAGTATACAAAGATTTCCTTTTCTTCACATTATCACCAACATGTGTTATTGATTGTCTTTTGGATATAAGCCATGTTAATTGGGGTGAGATGATAACTCACTGTAGTTTTGATGTACATTTCTCAGATGATAAATGAGCACCTTTTCATATGTGTGTTTGCCATTTGTATGTCTTCTTTTGAGGAATGTCTATTCAAATATGCCCATTTTCTGATCTAATTATTAGATTTTTTCCTATAGAGTTGTTTGAGCTCCTTATATATTCTGGATTACAACCACTTATCAGATGTGTAGTTTGCAAGTATTTTTCCCATTCTGTGGGCTGACTCTTCACTTTGTTGATTGTATCTTTTACTGTGCAGAAGCTTTTTAACTTAATGTTATCCTATTTGTTCATTTGTGCTATGATTGCCTGTGCTTGAGGGGTATTGCTTAAGAAATTTTTACCCAGACAAATGTCCTGGACATTTTTTCTCAACATTTTGTGTAGTAGTTTCATAGCTTGAGGTCTTAGATTTAAATGTTTAATCCCCTGGCGCATGTCTTGGATCTCCTCTTTCCATGCCAGCTATATACTACACTATGCAGCCCTTCATACCTAACCCTGAATCTGTCTTAACCCATACCTCCCACAAACAGTGCTCGCACAAACAGTGGCCACTTGGCCACATTTTGTGTCTAGTATTGAGCATATTTAGGCCCAGCTCTTCCTTCCTTAGGCAGAACTTTGAGAATAGGTCCTCACTGGCTTTGGAAGTATTCTAAAAGAATTAGAGTGTCTGATATTTTTCTACAAAATTGGCAGAGTGTCAGGACCTGAGGAACTCATTCTCGTCTCTGTGGGATCCTATTTCTGGGATGAAATGTAGCATGAGGAGATTCTGAGAAGGAGTCTCTAAAATAAGGGACTCAGGACCAGGGACCTTTTTGGCCAGGTCTAGTGCCAATTCAGGCTACATACCAAAAAACCAAAAGAAAAGAGAGCAGAAATATAGGAAAGGAGAGAGAAAGAGTTCATTCTGTTGTTTTTTTTTTAAATATTTTTTTCATTCCATTCACTTTAAGGTGAATGTCTCCACAACTTCTACCATATCTCCACAACTTAATTATTTGAAAAACAGCTCAGTTGGGTCTCATCATGGAAGTAGTGATATGATCAAGGTGGAAAATGTGGAAAATAAAATATAAGACTTCCTCATCAGTATTTCAACAACTGGGTATATACTTTGTTCACAGCATGGTGTACACCCATTCAATTTTTTTCAAACATGTCTAAACACACACACAAACACACACACTCTCATGTGTATGTTCACAATCTCAGACACAACTACTTTTTAAAAAATGAGATTAACCATTAACATTTTTTAACTTAATACCTGACCACTTTTCTACATCAATTATTAAACTAGAATCACTGCCCTAGTCTCCTCCAACACCTGCAGACCTCAGGAGCACCTGTTCTCACATGTAAACATTTTCATCCCCTAAAAACTGAGATCTTTGCCCCTCAGTCTTCTGACCCTTACTGTCTCTTCCTTTATGATTCTGAGTCTGGGTTATCCTCTCACCGCCCTCCCTACCCCCACATAACCTTGACTTCTTGACCCTGGATACCTCCACCATTCCTTTCTTTCTCCAAACACATTTGGATAAACTCTGCTGTTTTTCTTGTCCGAGTGGCAAATTATGTGTGCTAAGATGGTATGAAGGGTCTAAATGGGAATTTCATGGTCAAAACTCTATTTCAAATAGAGCCAATAAATATTTCTGGGATAAGATTTTACTCTCTCTCTCTCTTCCTTAGTGTCCACTTGAATGGTGACTACATTTTTTGTTAATCTTCTGCCAGAAAATTAAATTTTTGGACTGGAATCAGGAAATATTTTATACTTAATTTTATTTATTAAGACTTTTTTCTATAAAAGGCAACTTAAAAAAGGGAAATTTCAGCTCAAGGGCCAAGGTAGGCCCTTTGAGGGAGCAGGGGACCTAGAATCAAGGGTCAATCGCAGGTAAGTGCTGAGTGGCTGAGTCATGGGAAGGGGAGGAGAGGTTTTAAAACTTCCCATAATGTTGCCTGTGGCTAGGAGAACTCTTAGAAACCCCACAGGTAACCATTGAGTGGACAATCCACTTAACACAGTAGATGAATGATGAATGTAGATATCCTGCTGCTAAAACATCCCCTAAGATGAACACTACATACACCCATGCACTTCCTGCTGTATTATCCTCTAGGATGTCTGTGACCTCCATTCTTGCACATGATACCATCTTTGGGTCTTGGAAGCTGCTCCTTGAAGGTCATAGCACAGACAACGTAGGGGCAGATGTACCCTCTATTTGGGTTTGCAGTTTTGGAGAGGCAGGGCTCAGGGTAGCAAGGCATGCCTAATTCTAGGAGGGACAGGCTGGAGTTGGAGTGAGGGGAAAAAAAAAAGCATGATAAGGCATTATAAGGGGAGGAGGAGGAGTGACTCAGACTAAGAAACTTTAGAGAGAATAAGAGGTTTCTACCACTTTGCCCAGAATAAAGAAAGGAGAATTTACCAGGATGTGAAGATAAAGTGACATTAACTCAAATGGCATCACCAGCTGGGAGGCAACACATAGGACCTCAAGACCAAGAGAGATGGAAAGACTCTGAAGACAAGCCTTCAAAAGGCAAACCCAACAGGAAAAACGGGATTCAGGACAGCAGGCTCAGGTACAAAAGGGTGAGTGTGGAGGGCTAGTCATCCCTGTGCAGTGCCAGCTGTAGAAGGGCCTAGTTGGGGGGCATGGCTTCTAAAGGCAGGGCCTGTCTGTGATCCATGGCTTTGAAGAACAGGGCCTGGCATGTTGGTGTGATTGAGGAGAGCAGGGCCTGGTTGTTAATCATGGCCTTGGAGGACAGAGCCTTGTTGGGCTGCCAGACCTCAGACTCAGCTGCTGTGCTGAGACCTTACAGAAGATGTCAGCAAAGGCTCAGACCTCTTCCAGAGGCCTTGGAAGTTCTAGGAAACAGATGATTCCTTGGCTGATTGTGAGTTTGGTGGAAGGGGAAGCAGGCACCCTCTTTACAAGGTGGCAGGAGAGAGGAGAGTGTGTGAAGGAGGAATTATCAAACACTTATAAAACCATCAGATCTCGTGAGAACTCACTCACTATCACGAGAACAGCATGTGGGAAACTGCACCCACGATCCAATCACCTCCCAACAAGTCCCTCCCTCAACACATTGTGATTATGGGGATTACAATTCGAGATGAGATTTAGGTGGGGACACAGAGCCAAACCATATCAAGAACCAATTCCAGAAACTCTCAAACCAATTATGAAAATTCATGCTTAAAATTCTATTTCTTAAAATCACTCCTGTTACCAAAATCTGTAACAGTCAGGGTTCTCTAGAGGGACAGAACCAATAGGATTCACACACACACACACACACACATATACACATATACATACACAAAAATATATATATGTTTGAGTGTGTGCATATACATATACTATATACACACATATGTATACTAAATCCACATATATATTCTCAAACATACATATCTATTTGTGTATGTGTATGCAAATATGTGTGTATATATGTGTTTATATTTTATATATACACACAAACACTCATATATATATTTATATAAATGAGTTTATTATGGAGAATTGGCTCACACAATTAGAAAGGTGAAGTCCCATGACAGGTCACCTGCAAGATGGGGAATGTTGGTAACATTGTTCGGTACAAGCCCAAAAGTCTCAAAACTGGGGAAGCCTACAATGCAGCTCCAGTTTGAGGCAGAATGCCTGAAAGCCCCTGGAGGCCACTGGTGCAAGTCCCAGAGTCCAAAGCCCAAAGAACTTGGAGTCTTGTGTCCAAGGACAGTAGGAGAGATAGCGTCCTGTTTGGGAAGACATAGAGACAGAAAGAGAGAGAGAAAACTCAGCAAGCTGAATGCTGAATACTACCCTTCTTCTTGCTTTGTTCTAGCAACACTGGCAACTGATTGAGTGGTGCTTGCCCACATTAAGAGTGAGGTCTTTCTCTTTCAGTTCACTGACTTGCATATCGATCTCCTCTGAAATCATCCTTACAGATACACCAAGAAATAGTGCTTCACCAGCCATCTACGCATTCCTCAATGCAGTCAAGTTGACACCTAATATTAACCATCAGAGGGTTCACAACAATGATAGAAATAAAGGCTGTGGTAGAGAAAGCTTCCATGCTGCTGGGTTTGGAACTCAAGGACATCAGGTCACTTGAGACTTAGAGGAATCTGGGAAACAGGATCTAGGTTGCTGCTCTTGCTGGCATCAATAGTGGCAGGGACAACCTCATTCTTAGTCCTTCTGGTCACTTCAACTTGCATGAATTTCAACTGCTGCTCCTTCTCCCAGTATGACTGGATAGCCATAATATCAGGTTCTTAGAGAGAGAAACACTGCTGTAAACACAAGTAGAGCCAGGACTAGAAGATCAAGGCAGGGTAGGCAGAACTTGGTTGAATTTTTGCTTCTGACTGTTGAGCTATATATCATGTAACTCTTCTCATCTTCACAGAGGTCCAATCCAGTTCCCACTGACATCAGACAGAAGGGTGTGAGCCAGCCCTCTGTGGTCTGCCCCAGCCTGATCAATAATGTAAATTTCCTGATTTTTAAACATAACCCCTAAAAGTGTGTGTGTGTTGGGGGGCTAGGGTTATAAACAGTTTGAGCGACCAAAATCAGCATGTCAGTGCCATTCTAGTGGCTCAATCTTAAGCAATCTCCTGAAAGAAATTCCACATTGGTCAACAAAAGATGTCCCCCAGCAAGCAGTTCCCCAATGGAATATGATCACAACACTATGCCCATGGATGACCCCAGAGGGGACAGCCCCAGGACTTCTCCTGGCCTTTGGATTACCTCAAGCTCTACTGGGGTGGATAGAAGGGTTGAAGAGCAGGTCAAAATGAGGAGGCACTGCTGTCTCCTGCAGGTCTCAGGTACCAGAGGGGAATTTAGAAATTCTGGAAAGATGCTTCTGCTTGCCTGGACCCCTGAGGCATGCACAGACATTACCTGTGATTAAAGGTGGTACTTTTCTTAAACATCCATCGACATTTGTATGGGCTGCATAGTAATCCAGGGATAAATGTGCCTTAATTTATTGTACATACTCTCCATTCTTGGAAAACATGTCTAGTTTCTATTAATATAAATATGCTGTGATGTACAGGCTTGAAATTTAATATTTGGATACTTATTTTTAGTCATTACTACAAAAAGTTTGCATACTTAGTACCCAAAGCAGAAAAGCAAATGTAAGAAAATTAGCACCTAAATTCCCACACACTCATAGACAGTTACTGAAAATGTTTAATTAAATATTGGCAGAATAGCTATTTATACATGTTTTAAGTTTTTGTTTTGTTTATGAAAATAGAATTATTTATCCATGCATATTGTTTTTTAATCTGTGTTTTGGATTACACACTTTACAAAAGATCATACTTTCCATGTCAAATAATACATTTACACAAGGTCGTTTTGTAACTAGAAATATTCCATTTATAGAGGAAGCGTATATTTTCAAACATTCTTATATTTCCAACATTTATGTTGTCTCCAAATTTTCACTCTCTAACACAGTACTGTGACACATACCCTTCTTGCGAAAATGTGTTCATATTCTCATTTGGTTCTTGTCGTGGATAAATTCCCAGAAGTTAAAATTCT
This sequence comes from Homo sapiens, assembly GCF_000001405.40. Classification (NCBI taxonomy): domain Eukaryota; kingdom Metazoa; phylum Chordata; class Mammalia; order Primates; family Hominidae; genus Homo; species Homo sapiens. The sequence goes on along the minus strand of NC_000023.11, from coordinate 36,687,870 downwards.
TCATATAAGGCAATACAGTATGTAAATCTTGGATAAAAATATTAGTTAGCTGTTCTCCTAAAACTCACTGTTATAACAATTTTGGCAAAATGCAATGGGATGTTTAGTAGGATGGATGAGAAACTGAAAACAGTATGGTGATTCCTTAAAGAAGCAAAATTAGAACTACCATTCAACTCAGCAATCCCACTACTAGGTATCTCCTCAAAGAAAAAGAAGACATTATATGAAAAAAAACACATGCACACACATGTTTATAGCAGCACAATTCATAATTTCAAAGATATGGAACCAACATAAGTGCCCATCAACCAATGAGTGGATAAAGAAAATGTGGTTTATATACATCATGGAATACTACTCAACTGTACAAAGGAACAAAATAATGTCTTTTGCATCAAATTGGATGGAGTTGGAGGACGCTATTATTATTATTATTTTTGAGGCGGAGTCTTGCTCTATCGCCCAGGCTGGAGTGCAGTGGTGCAATCTTGGCTCCCTGCAACCTCCGGGAGGCCATTATTATAAGTGAAATAATTCATGAATGGAAAGCCAAATATTGCATGTTTTCACTTTTAAGTGGGAGCTAAGCTACGAAGATGCAAAGGCATAAGAGCAATATAATGGACTTTGGGGACTCAAGGGAGACGATTGAGAGGAGGCTGAGGGATAAAAGACTACATAATTAACTGCAATGTATACTGCTTGGGTGATGCATGCACTGAATTCTCAGAAATCACCACTAAAGAAATTATCTATATAACCAAAACCCACCTGTACTCCCCAAACTATTGAATTTTTAAAAAATCAATCAAACAAACAAAAGAAATTGCAAAGAACACAAAATAGAATGGAATAGTATTTGGAATGTTAGATAATATGAAATGGAAACTTGATTTGAAATGTAATGAAGAATGGCATAAAATGGAGACTGGTTACAGTGGAAACTAGAAAGAAATAAGGAATAGAATATGGACTTTAACAGGCTATGAAATGGAAAATTGAATACAATAGAAATTGAATGGAATACAGTGGGAAAATGGAATGGAAAGGGGAATGAAAGTATATTGAATGGTGTATGGAATAAAAGAAAAGATGCAATGTTATATGAGAAGAGGAATAAAATGGAATATAGAGTGAAATAAAATTTTAAAGAAAACTGAAAATAAATAGAAGAAAAATATAAAATGGAACAAAAAATGCAATGGCGTGAAATAAATGGACTATAAAACATGCACTATAGATTTAGAAATAGCATGATTGAATATAACAGAATGGAATTTGGAGTGAAATCCTGTATAATATACAAGGCTTTGAAAGATGGAATAGAAATAAAATAAAAATGGAATAGAATGGAATATGGAAAAGAAAATACTGATGGATTAAAGGATGGACTAAAATGAAAAATAAATTGGGTGTGGTGGTGGTGTGCAGCTGTAGTCCCAGCTTCTTGGGAGGCTGAAGTGGGAGGACTGCTTGAGCCCGAGAGTTCAAGGTTGCAGTGAGCAATGATTGCACCACTGCACTCCAGCGAGGACGACAGAGCAAGACCATGTCTCTAAAAACAAACAAACAAGTAATATAAAGAACAAATTAGTAGAATCTATTCCAGTCACTTACTGCTCCATAGCTTGGTGTTGTGGATCAATAACCATTTTATTATGCTCATGGATTCAGTATGTTTGGAATTCAGACAGAGCAGAGTGGAGATGGGTTATCTCTTCTCCATTACATCTGAGTTCTCAACTGGTAAAATTTGAATGACTTTGAGATTATGAGAACAGCCGTCAGTGATGACGCCTAGAATTTGGCCAGATAATCTGGAATGGGGAAAACTTGCTCTGTTGAGGAATAGATTGGGGAAGAGAATGGGAATCCATGGTTCAATTCTGACTGTGTTTATCACTACAGCTTGCATAGTTATTATATTCATTTAGGGGTACAAACCCCAATTTATAAACTTTCCATTAATCCTAGAGGTTACTTTTCACCGGTTTCATACATCCAGTATTCCTCTGGGAGTCATTTTGGGTTACCCTCTCAGAGTTTTTTGAAATCTCTCTGGGCCTTAGTAATGATCCTTGACTTATTAACTAAAATGCCCCATCTAGCCTAGCCCCCATTTAAAGGAATACACACACACACACACACACACACACACACACACACACACACACACACAAACATAATAATCTCTCTCTCTTTCACTTACGGATTTGGCTGACTTCTAAGATATTCAACTAAGGAAGCCCCTCTCTCTAACTCCATTGATGTGTCTTCATTTCTCTCTTCTTTCTCTTTCCCACTGCTCCTGTTTAGATGGTATATATGTATGTATGTGCTCATAAGAAGAGAAAATTCTGGAAGGGTGGATTTTTTGACTCTTCATAATTTATTTTCTGAATGTTTTCGAAGGTTATACATTACTCTTACATTCAGAAAAATACAGCTATTTGCCCTTTGGAAAAACTAAATTTTGATGCTAGGTTTTACACTGTTGTAAGCAACCAGACTGTCTCATCTACTACTATATGGGGTTTTAAATTCATAGCACATTGCCAGATGGGAATTTGACAACACATATTTAAAGTCATAAACATGAAATACATTTGACACTACAATACCTCTTCTAGGCATTAATTCTAAAGAAATACTCATATATACTGCCAAAGTTATATGTTCAAAGGTGATTATTATAGTGTCATTTATTTTTAAAAGTCTGAAATGACCTCATTTTCCAACAAGGCACTGAATGTCCATAAAATAAATGTATGCAGCTTTCATATGACGTTTATGAAGCACTTTTATTGCCATGGGAAAATAGCTGTAATATCATAGCTCTTTGTCTAATATCATACCAATAAAAACATAATTACAGTATACACTAAACAATATTTACATTTACTTATCTATCTACCTACCTACTTATGTATCTATCCATTTATTGTAATTTTCTGAGGTAGTTGTAACAAATCACCACAAACTTTGTGGCTTACAACAATAGAAATGTATTCTCTCAACCCTGAAGGCCAGAAGTACAAATTCAGTATCACTCAGCCAAAATCAAAGTATTAGGCAGGCCTGCACTTCTTCTGGAGGCTCTAGGACAGAACCTGTTCCTTGCTGCTGCCAGCTTCTGATGGCTGCAGGCCTTCCTTGGCTCATTGTTATATCACCACAATCCTCACTTCCACCTTCGTTATCACTTTCTCCTCTGTGCATTTGTATCAAATCTCTCTCTGCCTCTTTTTTATAACGACACATGTTATTGCACTTAAGGCTCTCCCAGAAAATACAGAATAATCTCCCCACCTCAAAATCTTTGTCTTAATGACTTCTGCAAAGTCTTCTTTGCCATATAAAGTAGCATTAACAAGTTCCATTTATTAGGATGTAAATAGCTTTTGAGGGGTCATTATTCAACTAACCACACTACATATCTATCTACCTATTTATTTTTATACCTATATAGCTTTTTACATATATCCAAATCTCATTCACTATAGAGCCATGGTTCTCAACCAAGGACATTTTGCACACACCTTCCAGACATTTGGAAATGCCTAGAGACATTTTTGGTTGTCCTAATTGGTGAGAGTGGAAGTGCTACTGCCATCTAGTGTGTAGAGGTCAGGGATGTGGCAAAACTCTCTTAATTCCAGTAACAGACTTCTACCACACAAAATTATCTGTCTGATGAATAATGCTCACAATGTCAAGGTTGATAAACTGCTATAGAGAAGATGGACAATCCAGAAAAGTTTATAACATAATTTAGATCACAAGCAACCCTGCCAGTGATTGAACACTATGATTAAACATTTAATATGGCATCAGGGTGAAGTCACAGAAGATGGCAGAGTAAAGAACTCCAAAATCCATCCCTCCACAAGCAAAGAGTAAGCTCGCAAAAACTGTCAGAATCAAGTGTTTTTGAACTCTGGAATTTAATGATAAACTTACAGCAACCAGGTAGTGTTTAATGAATAAACAGACTCTTAATTCTGATAAGAGATCTTTGTGGCATTATATTCACCTGCCTACCATTCCCCATTCCCTAGCTAGGCAGTGGTTATGTGTATGGCAGATTGCATTCTTGGTTCATCTTGCTAGTGCCAGAGGGTAAAGGGTGAGTTTTGTTTTTAAATAATTGTGTTGTGTATTTTGGCCTATCTTGTGTTCTCTGAGAGAAGGAAAAGCTCAAGGGCTTGTGTTTGTTTTACCCGCTTCCAAACTCTCAGGGCTGGAGTAGCCTCCCAGGCAACATTTGCCAAAAACATTTAAAGACAGATACTATCTCCAAGTATCTGAGTGAGCAGATGGTGGAAGGGGGTTGCAGTATACTGTAGATAGGTCACTTGTCCATCCTGGAAGACATAAGAGAACCTCAGGCCCAAGGAGACAGAGACATCCTAGATTGGGCTGCATGTGACTGGGTCTATTTTGCTAATATGACTGGCACCCTGGTGTCTCTGTGCTAGAATTACAGTCTTGGGTTCATGCAGATAAAGAGTTTTCCAGGCCATATTTCTTGCTGTGACTGGGTCCCCTTAAACTTGTTCCTCTCTTGTCACCTCCCACCCCACCTTTCCCTGTGTATGCAGGCAAGGAGAGTCTGGCACATAGGAACAAAATGTCCTATTGGATTAGGCTGCATGTTGTGACTTGATCCCTTTCTCAGTTCTGCTCATGGGGAGGAGAATTTCAGCCCTGCAGGGACAAAAAGGTTTCTCATGTGCTGCTGATTGCTGTGACTAAGTCCCGTTTTCATATTTATTAGGTTAGTCTCAGTCTTCCTAGATGAGGATATGTAGAGATGCCAGCAACAGCAAGCCGATGAGAGGCCACATTAGAAGGTGCACTGATTGAGGGTGCAGCCAGCTTCAAGTGGACATGTTGGAGTAGGCATATAGCTAGACATGAACAAGTTAGGGGAGCTCCTGAAAAAAGGAGATTTGGAAAAGCTCACACCCCAAAAACCACCCAAAACAAGCATGCTAGACATGAGCAGCGAGGAGGGCGAATACCTACACAGGAAGGAATGCCCCTTATTAAGCCCACTAATTGCTCACTCTGCAGTTAATCTGTCAGAATGCTGATAAGGGGAAAGAAGGCACAGGAGAAATTCCTAAGAGATATGCAGAAACAATACGTATAGATTTGACCACTATACAATCTTCCTGGGATGGTAGTAATGAGCAGTGCAGCCATTAGGTAGAATTCCTATCCAGCACCCGGCCCACGCATGTGCACCAACTAATCAATAGTAAGAAAGCATTCCAGAAGGCTGGGATGGGAACTAGGCAGGGAAAAGGCAGGGACTTAAGGCAGAAGTGGAAAAACTAGACAAACAAAAAAGGCAGAAACTTAAGACAGAGGTGGGAACTTCAAGAAAAAATCTGACATTATAAAAACCCAATGTAGAACTCTCTGGCTGCTGCTGGCCCATTCTCTTTCAGCAGCCTGCTCTGCCTTATCTTTCCGAGTGTTCTGTCCCTTTAAATAAACTCTCTGCTCTCTATTTTCCTTCAATAAATTTCCTTTTTCTGGATAAATTGCCTCTTAGCAGTATTCTTTCTCTCAAGTACGACTAAGAACTGGGGATTCTTGCACTTCCCAGTAACATAGTATTATGTCTTTGGCACCATTTGCTTTGCGCTGGGAAAGCCAGAGCTCATGCCATGCAAAGGCCGTTTTGATGTGTTTCTCTTGAGGGTAATTTGTCAAACACTGTGTAAGGTCTAGATTTGGGGGGGAAATAAAATGAAAGAAAATAAGGGTAGTTTGGGTGAAAGGACAGCTAGGAGGAACAGAAGGAGTTGGCCTTGAAACAAATCTGGGAGCTTCAAGGTACATCCAAATGTATAGGATTCCCTCAAATCCTGCTATGGCAGAAGATCTACAGAGTTTTTCTTGCTGAGCAGCATTTTGGATGATTTGGTGTGCCATGCCCTAGAGCACTGCATATTCTCTGACATCTCCTAGATAAATTAAAGTCAGATAAGAGAGTGGTAGGGTCTGGGGTCAAAATAATCAAAATAATCTACCAATCATGAAAGACTCAAGGCATGCCAGAACCAATGACAGAAGCTTTACATAAATGCATATATCCCAGTCTCACATGACAGGGTTTATCAATCCTATTTCACTGCTAAAGATTCTAAAGCTCAGTGGGGTTGGCAATATTCCCAAGTTCACAAGGCTAGAATGTGGCAGGGTTGGGACTACTAGACCCCTGATCAGAATTTGCTTAGAGTTCACTCTGTTTCACTTCTCCCAGTCGGAGGCAGACATTTTGTCTTTTAATTAAGTTCTCTTCTTACTACTTTAAAATATCTCTTAGGTGATAAAAAGAATGACATTGTGGCTAAAGAACTAAAAAATGGGTGTCGAAAATCAGAATCAAACACAATTTGAGGATTGCCTATTGGCTTCATTTACCCAGGATCCTGTTGCATTTAGTCCCAGGGTTCTGTGGGAGCTCACTGTGCCCATGGGCCAACATTTTTATCTAGCTCCAGCTGTTTCCTACATTACAACACACTTTCCCTGGGTCTTACTCAGTTTATTCTCCTGCCCAATTCTGGAACTTGACCTGCTGACCATATCTTTACCATCTCCTCTTTTGGTGGCTACACCCTATTATCAGTGGAACAGACAGCCAAGAATCACCTGCTTTCCCCCCTACAGAGTACTCCAATTCCATGTAAATATCTCCCGGCTAGATCTTCATCATGGAATCCCTCTGATAGCAAAAATCCTTTCTATGTAAAGTTCACTTTAGACAGTGAAGTTTAGACATGTGGTCATCCTCCATAAACATCTTCACCACACTCTGAAGGTGTTTTCCAAATAGGCTGGTTAGTAGAATATGAATTGTCACATAACCTACTGGTTTTTTTTTTTAGGATATAACTCTGAAGTCAGAAGAGGATTTTATGAAACACCCTAATATTGGCTGTAGGGTTTTAATAGGGCGTTTTATTTGAAACTGACCATGTATATACTTATGAGTGAGCATACCTAGGTGGGAAAAATCAAAACCTCATGCATAAATGATAGACGAGGAAAGACCATGGAAATCATTGTGTAAGGCAAACATGTAGGGAAGCTGAATTCTTAATAATCCCTAAATGCATTTCTAAGAGTTAGAAAATGTTTTCTTGGCAGACATGCTAGCTTTGATTTTGAAAGAAAAAATAATTCACCGTACTTTCATTTCCTCTTGTCTCTGTGTACTTTTCCCAGAGAAAATTTCTTGTTTTCAGTGTGCTTTATGGTACCTGTACAGGTGCTCAAACATGTTAGTCAGGTGGTATTTCTCCTTTCTTTTGGTGCATAGTTACTTTCTTAACTTGGGACTAAGAATGTAATTATGCACCAAAATAAAGGAAAAATTCTCAGCTTACTGAGATTGTAGATGTTATTGCAAAGGGCAGTGGAGAAAAGCACTATTGAGTGAAGAAGAGTAGACATTTCCTACAAATATTTTCAGTGTCCTTTTGAAAATTAAATGCACTCCTGTATTTAAAAGCACCTGTCATATTTTAGGCTGTTGAAAAAGTTGGTGAATTCTAAGACACATTTACACTTCCAAGAAACTTCTCCAACAAATAAATAGAGTTATTGTAATAACAAATTATATGATAGTTACTCTTTATTGAGAACATACTATTTAGCAATTTCTTGGAGAGTCTGCAAAAGCTTGTCCACATCTGACCCTTCTCTACTTCCTAGGTTTATTGAGTGCATTACCAAGCACACTCATAACTAGAAAGAATCATGTGAGTAGGCCTTTCCACTGAAATAAAAACAAAAACTTGTTTGTCAGTTTCAGGCTTTGTTAGTTCTAGGCCAGTGTATTTGAGAATCAGTTTGACTCTTCCATGCTTGACTCTTCCATGCTTTCTCCTTTATTCAGCATCAAACATGGAGAGCCCGTGTTGAGATGGTGGAACTACAAGATGAAAGCAGCCTGAATCTCTGGTTCAACTGATAGCAGAGAGCCTATGCCAACCCATGTCTGTTTTTTTCATGTGCAAAATAAATAAATATTTATTGTTATAAGCCATTCAGATTTCAAATTTTCTCTGTTTCATCAGCTAGGAGGAACTACATGACTGATCCCCAGCTACCATTTCTGTTGTTAGGTTTATTTAAATATTTTAATTATAAAAATAATATTACAAAGATTCTTTCTCAAAAAAATCTAACAATACAGATAAACCACATTCCACAGTGTTTCTTCAAAATTCAACACTTTTAAACACATAACCATGATTAACAGTCTGATGTTTAAGCTGATCCTACTTGTTTTAACCTATATAAATGTGTTTAATAAACATATATTATGATTTTATGTGTGTATATATATAAATATAAATATTTAAAGTATACAATATGGCCAGGTGCAGTGGCTCATGCCTGTAATCCCAGCACTTTGGGAGCCCGAGGTGGAGGGGTCACGAGGTCAGGAGTTCGAGACCAGCCTGGCCAACATGGTGAAGCCCTGTGTCTACTAAAACTACAAAAATTAGCTGGGCGTGGTGGTGTGCGCCTGTAGTCCCAGCTACTCAGGAGGCTGAGGCAGGAGAATTGCTTGAACCCGGGAAGTGGAGGTTGCAGTGAGCTGAGATGGGGCCACTGCACCTCAGCCTGGGTGACAGAGCAAGACTCTGTCTCAAAAATAAAATAAAATAAAATAAAATAAAACAAATAAATAAAGTATACAATGTGACATTTTGATAAACATGTATAATAAAATGATTCCTGTAGTCAAGCAAATTAATGTATTCTGCCTCACGTATTTACCATTTTGTGTGTGATAAGAGCACTAAAAATCTACTCTTGCGAAATTTCCATTATACGATAAAATATTATTGACTATAGTCATCATCCTGTACATTACATCTCTAGATTTATTCATCCCACATAACTGCAACTTTGTACTGTTTAACCTACATTTCCCCAGTCCTCTCATTGCAATATTTTAAAACACACAATGAGAAGTGATGTACCTATTCTTCTCCCATTTGCCTTTAATAAGTATTATAAATTAACTAATAGTAAATGACATAAATATAAATTTTTGATTTAATTAATAAACTAACCTTTTGACTAATGAATGAATGAATGAATGAATGATTTTTCCATAACAAGGTCATACAGATTTACTTTTGTATTACTATTGGGATTCCAATATGTGTGCCATGATTTAACCATTTTTCCACTGATGAACACATAATTGTTTCCCAATTTATATTGTAATAAATGGAACTAAATAAACATTTTTAACACAAATTCTTTGGAAAATGTGTATGTTTTCTTAAAAACACAGTAGAGCAGAAATTTGGTTAAAATGGAAAACGTTGTAATTATTTTAAATTTTTATAAATATTGCCAAAATATTATCTCCAAAATGTCATACAAACTTATATTCTCACAAATTATTTTATATTAATACTCTATACTCTCACAGATATTTTGTCAATTTTAAAATTTTGATCAAACTTCTAAATATATAAATTACAGAGTAATCTAATTAATATTTTCTTATTTTCTAAATAGGTTGAACAGAAAATTTGCTTTTCTAGACTGCAATCTCCATTTATTCAATCAAACACAAATGTAGATGTTGCTGTGAAGATATTCATGATAGTTAATTTTATGTGTCAACTTGTCTGGGTCATAGTGTCCAGATATGTGGTCAAAGATTCTTCCGGATATTTCAGAGGATGTTTTTGATGTTAATAACATTTAAATAGATGGACTTTGAGTACATAGTCTCATTTAAATAGATGTACTTTGAGTACAGTAGATTGCCCTCTGTAACGTGGGTGGGCCTCGTCCAACCAGCTGAAGGCCTAAATAGAACAAAAGACTGACCTCCCTCAAGCAAGTGGGAACTCTACCAGCAGATGGCCTTGGGATTGGAACAACACTGACTCTTTCTCTGGTTTCCAGCCTACCAGGCCACTCTGAATATTTTGGACTTGCCAGCCTCCATAATCTCGAGAGAGTTCCTTAAAACAAACGTCTTTCTGCGTGTATATATATAATATTTAGTGGAATCTGAGTCAGTCAGTTGAAAAACCATAAAAACAGATTTCCAGAGATACATGGGTTATTAAAAATTTAAAATAAATTATTCCACACTATTAAAGAAGATAAATCACATAATCTTATCAATAAATGCAGGAAACACTTTTGAAAATTGAACACCTATAATAACAAAAACTGTCAGAAAAGTAGGAATAGAGCAAAGCTTCTTCAAGTTGATACAATGCATCTATAAATAATATACAGATCACCTTATACTTAATAGCAAAAGACTGAATGCTTCCCCTTTGACATTGAGAACAAGGTAGTGCTGGAAGTTATAGCCAGTGAAGTAGGACAGGAAAAGAAAATAAAAGGCACATAGATCATATAGAAAAAATAAAATGACTCTTGTTTGCAGATGACATGATTGTCTTCACATAAAAGCCCAAGAATCTACAGAAAAAGTAAGAAACCTCTTTGAACTCATTAGTGAGTTTAATAAGGTCACAGGACACAAGATAAACATACAAAACACAATTGTATTTCTATATGCTAGCAAGAACAAGTGGACACCGGTATTAAAAATGTAATAATACCATTTACAAGCACTTAAAAATGACATAGTGTAACTTTGACAAAGAATTTACAGGACTTGGATATTTAAAACAACTGATGGCAGGGGGCGGTGGTTCACACCTATAAAACTTTGGCGGAATGTTGGGAAGGCATGATTGGTTTTGAAATGTGAGGGCATGAGATTTGAAGGGCCAGGGGCAGGATGATGTGGTTTGACTGTGTCCCCACCCTAATCTCAACTTGAATTGTATCTCCCAGAATTCCCAAGTGTTGTGGGAGGGACCCAGGGGGAGGTAATTGAATCATGGGGGCCTGTCTTTCCCGTGCTGTTCTAACTATAGTGAAGAAGTCTCACGAGATCTGATGGGTTTATCAGGGGTTTCCGCTTTTGCTTCTTCCTCATTTTTCTCTTGCCACTGTCATGTAAGAAGTGCCTTTTGCCTCCCGCCATGGTTCTGAGGCGTCCCCAGCCATGTGGAACTGTAAGTCCAATTAAACCTCTTTTTCTAACCAGTCTCGGGTATGTCTTTATAAGCAGTCTGAAAACGGACTGATACAAAAAGACAATGATAAAATAACACATTTTTCCTTTCCTTTCCTTTCCTTTCCTTTCCTTTTCCTTTCCCTTCACTTCCCTTCCTTTCCGTTTCCGTTTCCTTTTCCTTTTCCTTTTCCAGAGGGGGTCTTCCTCTGTCACCCAGGCTGGAGTGCAGTGGTGCAATCTTGGCTCACTGCAACCTCCGCCCCCCAGGCTCAAGCAATTCTCTTGCTTCAACCTCCCCAGTAGTTGGGGTTACAGGCACGTACCACCACGTCTTGCTAAGTTTTGCATTTTTAGTAGAGATGGGGTTTTGCCATGTTGGCCAGGCTGGTCTAGAACTCCTGGCCTCAAGCGATCTGCCCACCTCAGACTCTCAAAATGCTGGGATTACAAGCATGGGCCACCACGCCCGACCAACATTTTTTACTTAAGAGACATTCATATGAAGAAGTTAAAATAGTCACAAGGGATAGTGACTATTTTATCTTAGTAGACACTATAGATCGTCATCAGTCTTACAATTCAAATGATGTTTTGAATATACTACTACCAGAAGTGTTTTCTGATTCTAAAATTGCAGGCAAATTTGGATGTGTCAGGGTAAAACCTACTGCAATAATTAAAAAATTAAATAGTTCATTTATGGAGATTATTGAAGATCTAAATAATAGATTTAAATCATTTGTGATAAAAGATCTAGGCCTTTTTACAGGATAGCCACAGATTGAAGTCATGAGGATGCACAAAACAACTTTTCCTTTGCTTGTGCAATAGTTTTCTCATGAAAAATGCTTGCTTATAAAGCTATTGTGAATGAAATCCCTTCCAATGAAACTTCAGAAACAGAAGCTTTTGCAGAGACTATTTTTGATTTAGGAGTGAACAAGAAAAACGTACTGCTTTTGGCAGAGATAATCCAAGTACAAATTTTGGTGGATATTTTCATTTAGGTACAATGTTTATTCAAAGTTGAAACAGAGGCAGGGCACGGTGGCTCACATCTGTAATCCCAGCACTTTGGGAGGCCGAGGCGGGTGGATCACGAGGTCAGGAGATCGAGACCATCCTGGCTAACACAGTGAAACCCTGTCTCTACTAAAAATACAAAAAAAAAAATTAGCCGGGCGTGGTGGCGGGCACCTGTAGTCCCAGCTACTGGGGAGTCTGAGGCAGGAGAACGGTGTGAACCCGGGAGGCGGAGCTTGCAGTGAGCCGAGATCGCTGCCACTGCACTCCAGCCTGGGCGACAGAGCGAGACTCCGTCTCAAAAAAAAAAAAAAAAACCTACAAAGTTTAAACACAACACGAATGAGTCTACAGAAAATAGCTGTACTTTCCATATTCTGCAAAAAAACAATAGTATCTGATATTCATTCTCTTGACTCTGAAGTAATTGTCATAAAATTGTTCTCTTTGGCATTTACTGTCTTAATTTATCAAAACATTTTTGTGATTTTGTTAGTATCTAGTATTTTTTAATTCTCTTATTCAAGACAATATTGGCTCTCTCTAACAAATACAGTTCAACTGAAAGATTTTTCAGTTTTTTTGGAAGCATTGAAATTATACTTTAATTTCGAAGTAAAGGCTCCCCAAATTGTTTTTGACTTTTTAAATGGCCCATTGAGTGAAGCCTACTTATTTCTTGTTCATAGTTTTCAATGCTTCTTTTTCAATAGGATTTTGCAAAGTGAAAGAATAGCAATGTTATTAAAGTGCTCATTGCTTAAAGGAAGTTATTGAATATATGGGCAAAGAACATGAATGAACACTTCTCAAAAGAAGACATACACATGACCAACAATCATATGAAAAACTGGTCAACATCACTAATCATTAGAGAAATGCAAATCAAAACCACAGTTGAGATGTAATCTCACACCAGTCAAAATGGCTAATATTAAGAAGCAAAGAGAAACAGATGTTGGTGAGATTTCTAAGGGAATGCTTGTAAACTGCTGACAGGAAGTTAAATCAGTTCAGCCACGTGGAAAGCAGTTGGGAAGTTTCTCAAATAACTTGAAACAGAACTACCATTTGAATCAGCAATCCCGTTACTGGGTATATACCCAAAGGAATACAAATCATTCTACCATAAAGAGACATGGACATGCACACGTATGTTCATCGCAACACTATTCACAATAACAAGGATATAGAATCAACCTAAATGCCCATCAGTGGTGAACTAGATAAAGAAAACGTGGTACATATACACCACAGAATACTATGCAGCCATAAAAAAGAATAAAATAATGTCCTTTGTAGGAACATAGATGCAGCTGGAGGCCATTTTCCTGTGCAAATTAGTGCAGGAAAAGAAAACCAAATATCACGTGTTCTTACTTATAGGTGGGAGCTAAATATTGAGTATAGAAGGACACAAAGAGGGGAACAACAGACACTGGGGCCTACTTAAAGGTAGACAGTGGGAGGAGGATGAGAAACAAACATCCACCTATTGCATACTATGCTCACTATCTGAGTAATGAAATCATTTGTATACCAAACCTCAGTGACATGAAATTTACCCATGTAACAAATCTACACATGTACTCTCTGAACCTAAAATAAAGGTTGGAGGGAAAAAATAAATAATTTATAAATAATCCCTTAAATGTCAATTTTTTTTAAAGGACAACATTACTCATTAATGGAAAAGAAATTCTCACTTGAGTGGATAATTATTATGACACTTGCCATAACGATCCTTTGAAATAGATTTCATTGCTTGAATAATTTGATCCTTTTACATGAATATTATTATATATTCTTCCAGTGTGGGAATACATGAAATCATCTTATGTAAGACTAAAGAAGAAGGGGATTAAAAATCATGATAATATTCTTTTTGTTACTGGACAACATTGAAAAAATCGTTGGTCATAGATGAAACACAATCTTGAAGAATGGTAAAGCAAGTTATGCCATGCTTAAAAAATCAAAGTTGAAAATAAGTTATCAAAGTCGTTAACTTTAAGCATATGTTCTCATTAATAATTTTCAATGGACAAAATAATTAAATAAGTTGGCAGTGACCGGTGTAGAACGTATGCTACAATGTAAATAGGCTTTAACTGTAAAGAAATTTGTAAGCAATTTCTGGAAAACAAGGAATTCATAAAGAGAGAGAAATCATCAAGTAAATATACTTAAACAGAGGGGTATATAATTTAAATATTTATAATTTATTTTAGATAAACCGTGGATAATTTTTGCATATATCTATTCCATGCAATATTTGTATATCTCAGTGTGCAGTCATATAGGCAATGAAAAATAATTGAAATTTAACTAGATTCCCTGCATTTTTACCTGCTAATTTCACAGTCCCAGGAAGGGAGAACTAGAGATAAACCTGCCCCACACCCTACCTACCCTCAGTAGACTGCAAGGAATGCTGGTCAGATGATGAGCAAAAGATGGCCTCATAAGAAGTGATCTCAAATGTTGAAGACAAAATGGCTCTAATCTCACGATACTCTTCTAGAATATAGAAAAAAGCAACAATCCCCAACTCATTTTTATACTACCCAATCTCTGATACAGAAACCTGAGGAGGAAAATACAGGAAGAGCAACTTATAGGCCAATTTCTCTAATGAACATAGATGTGAAAATTCCAGACACAATAACAGCAAGCCAAATCTCCAATACATAAAAAGGTTAATACACTTGGAACAAGGTGACATAGCATTAGAAAGTCAGCTAATGTATGTTATTGCATTACTATAGGACACAAAATTCATATAATTATTTAATGACAAAAATCATTTGATAAAATAAATGTATACTCAGCATTGAAAGAAGTTTTATGCTGAACGTACATCTCACATAAATAAAAGAAATAATCCTTTAATAGCCCAGGAATAAAAGAAAGATTATTTTACCTGCTAAAGTGTATCAAACTATGGGGAACTTTTAATACATTTCTGTTTAGGTGATGATGCTCTACACAACTATTTACCATTATATTGCATGTGCTTGCCTCCACAGTCAAAATTTGTAACTAAAATATATTGAAATCGTACAAGATGAAACAATATTGTTGTTACTCACAAATTGTATGATTGTGGATATGGATGATCTAAAATAAATTGCAGAAAGAATATGAAAAATAAGAATTTTACTGGATATTAGATGCTTATAACAAATTCCATTATATTTTTATTTATGTGGAACAATTTGCAATAAAAATTTAAAATGTCAAGTACCTTGGAATACATCTAATAAAGTATGTGTAAGACCTTTACAGAGAAATCTTGTAGCCTTAATGAGAGAAATTAAAGAAGACTTAATTAAATGTAGAGATAAACATTCATGAATTAAAAACACAATATCATAAAGATATAAATTCTACTCAAATTGCATTAAAATGTCAATATAATCCCAGTGGAAATTCTCACCATCAATTTTGTGGAATTTGATAAGCTGATTCAAAAGTTTATAAGGAATAGAAAAGTGGTAGTAAGGAGGGTCAAGACCAACATAAAGAAAAACAAAGTAAAGGTGTTTTCTAACTAGATATCAAGGCTTATTATAAAGCTACAGTAATCAAGAATGTTTTTGTTGGTAAATGGAATGAAGCAGTTCAACAAAACAGAATAGAGAGAACAGACACAGACCCACTTATGGCACTTGATATATTAAAAAAACAGACCTTTGAAGATCAACAGGGAATAATGGATTTTTTTAAAAAAATGGTGCTGGCTCAATTAGGAATCCATGGGCAAAAATTCTACCCCAACTTAATATTTTGTGAAAGATAAATTCCAGCTAAATTTAAGCCATGTACTATAATACCCAACATATGAAACATTTAGAATACAATAGAGAAGACTGTCAACCTGACTGTAGCATAGGAAAAAACTACTAAACAAAACATTAAAATCACCCAGCCAAAGAAAATACTGTTAAATTGCATTAAAATGAAAAAAAAGTTTATTAATCAGAAGACCAGGGGAAATATTTAAAAAGATTAGTCACCAACTGAAAGGAAAAGTTTTCTTATAGTATAGTTGACAAAGGATTCAAGTACAGAATATATAAAAGCTTCTACAAATCAATATTAATACTATAGACAACAAAATAGACAAAAGGACCAAAAACTTAAACAATCTCTCCACAAAAGAAGAAATCCAAATAATCAATACATTTCTGAATAGGTGTTCAAGTTTCACTGAAATGCAAATTCAAACCCAAATGTGATACAGTTATGTATATTATACAACAGATTGGCAATCATTGACTAGGTTTGGCAACAATGTGGCCCAACAGAAATTCTCATCCACTGCTGTTGGGAATATTAATTGGTGAAGTAAATTTGGAAATAATTTTGACACTATTTCATAAAGTTGAAGATGAAAATGAACTGTAATACAGAAGACAATCTTTAGGTATATAACATATTTAAATTCATATTTTTGTGCACCAGGAAACCCATACAAAACTGCTCATTGAATCATTGCTTGCAATAGCAAGAAACATAAATGACTCAAAAATTTATCATTAGTAAAATGGATAATTACATTTTGTTGTTTACACATAATGAAATATTTTTCAGCAATAAAAATAAATGAACTATGTTTACATGGAACAACATTGATAATTTTCACAATTATAATTTTGATAGAAAGAAACAAGACAAAAAGATATCTCCAAGTCCATTTTGATTATATAAAGTTCAGGCTAAATTAAATAGTATATTGTTTATGGTTTCATCATATGTGGTAAAAAAACAAACAGAAAAGCAAATAGCATATTCAAGAGTCAGAATAACACTCTGGTGGAACGGGAACGCAGATAAGTAGCAAATAGTGAATGTGCAAGGAGCTGCTGATGTGCTTGCTGGCTGGCAGTGTTCCGTTCCTTACTTAGATGGGGTTTACACTATTTTCTAATTTATTCTTTAAACTGTACATGTATGCATCTTTCTATATCAATAGTATATCTCTCAATAATTTTAAAATACTTAATTTTAAAGTTATAAGTTCTAGGAAGTCAAAAAATGTGATTTTGGGGGAATTATTCAGCTTATTATGGATAATAAAAAGCAAAATTTTATAGCCCAAATCGCAAAACTTGTATTATTATCATTCAGATAATATTTAGTAATATAAGACCATAAGATTAATAATTTAAAGATCATTTTCAAAAATTAAATTTGAATTTTAAGATGAAATTCTCAAGAGGCAACTGGCATTCCTAGATACATTAAAATGTACCCAATTTTACCTACAAAGAGGTCCTGGTGTTTAGTAAATTATTTTGAACTAGAAATTATTGCTGCAATGTGTTAATCCAGCTAAATTTTCATGTTGTTGCCACATTTCTGTTAGTTTCACCATTGTGTCTTTACTCTACATAGAGACATTTTCTTTCAATGACCATGTCAAAGTGATATAATATGTTGCTCTAAAATCAAGAAAGTCATTGCACCTGTTGCTCCAGCTATTGTATGAATGGGGAAATTAACTCTACCAGCAACATAACATGAAAACCCAATGCATTTTGAGCAACCTAAATGTCAGCTGGTCTCCATTTCACTTTCATTCATCCTTGCTACACTGGGACCTCTGTCTGGGAACCAGCCTGTTGCCACTACTATTATTGTAAGATGCCCAACCTACATCTGTAATGAGGCACAAATGACTGAAGGAGCCTGCAGTGTTTTTAAGACACACCTTTCTTTCCTCCTACACAGCATGAGGAACAAGAATAGAGCTTTTCTTTGAGGTGAAAATCTGCTACTGTAATATGAATGAGCTAAGTATGCTAAATGCATGCCTTTGAGGAAAAAAATGCTTAAAACTAGCAACTCATTTGTCACTTAAAAGGTTTCTCAAGATATTAAAAGCACCATCTTTAGTTTAAAGGTTGCCAGCTCCTTCAGTTTCTCCTGAACATCTACTAGTTCAAGGAGTGCTAGTTCCTGAAGGAGCTGGGTCAGGCAGGAGCAATGTAGGGGCAGAGTAAGGAAATGTCAAAAGAACCCAAGGTACTAGATAAGGGGCTGAACCATGCTTTTAGAGTTGCACTGGTTCTTGATTTACATTGATCAAATAATGATATTCTTACAAAAACTTGCTTCACACATTGCTCTGTGATCATAAAAGGACCATTGTATCGTAACATGGGTCTTCATTCATCTCTAAGGTGGAGAACACCAACATTTTCACAGATTAAATGAAGAGAATATATTGAATTTAGAAGAAATTCTTGTGTAATTGAATGTGCCACCTTCTGGAGCATTGTGTAAGTGTAGGTTGAGTATAAATGGCCTTCAGTAGAGTGTGTAAATAATTCATTAGGCAGGAAATGAGAATCGACTATTTTGCTGTTAGGAACATAGTAAGACTTCTTTTTCCTTTATAAGAAAGCTTTTCATGACAGATGAGAATCAATCATTTGATCAAATACCTTTTCTGCATTTTGAAACAGCACGGTGCTAATGTGTTTTCCCTTCTTACTCTTTATGAATGTGAATTCTTATTACACACATTTTATTGTTGGTAGACAGCAACTATAACCCTGGCTTTAAAGTTATCAAGACACTCTCCAGGAGTTCATTAGAAATATAGTAGTATTCTTTCCCTTCTCTGACCTTATCTGCAACAATTTAGCCCCTTCCCCAATATTTCAGGGTTTTATAAAAAATATTTTTATTGACACAGAATAATTATGTACATTTATGGGATACAACGTGATGCTTTGATACATGTATACATCGTATAATGAGCAAATCAGGCTAGTTAACATTAATCACTTCACATACTTGTCATTTATTTATGGTGAGAACATTTATAATCCACTTTTAGCAATTTTGAAGTATACAATACATTAACTACAGTCACCATGAAGTGCAATAGATCAACAAAACTTATTACTCTTTTCTAACTGAAACTTTGTGCCCTTTGACTAACATTTCCCCTTTTCCACACCCCACCTCTACCCCAGCCTCTGGTAACCACAGGTCTGCTCTATAAGTTCAAATTTTTAGATTCCACATATAAGTGACAGCAAGCAATATTTACCTTTCTGTGCTTGACTTATTTTACTTAACATAATGTCCTCTAAATCTATCTATATTGTTGCAAATGACAACTATTGTTCTTTCTAAAGGCTGAATAATATTCTATCGTGTATGTATACCACATATTTTAAATGTTGATAGGTACTTTAGCTATTTCCAATTCTTGGCTATTGAGAATAACATTTCAATGAACATGGAAGTTCAAACATGTCTTCAACACACTGGTTTTGATTTCTTTAGATAGAAACCTAAGCATGGGATTTCTGGATCATAAAGTAATTTTATTTTTAGTATTTTTGAGGAATCTCCATATTGTTTTCCATAATGGCTGTATTAATTTACATTTCCATCAACAGTGTACAAGGGTTTCGATTTCTCCACACCCTTGCCAACATCTGTTCTCATTCATCATTTTGACAATAGCCATTTCAACAGGTGAGAGGTAATATTTCATTGAGGTTTTAATTTTCATTTCCTTGATAATTAGTGATGTTGAGCACTTCAGATCAAATTGGCCTGACAGACATATACAGAACATTCCATTCAACAGCAACAGAATAAACATTCTTCTCAAGTGGGCATGGAACATTCTCTAAGATAGATCATATGTTAGACCTCAGACTAAGTCTTGACAAATTTAAGAAGACTGAAATCATATCAAATATCTTTTCAGACCACAATCTTATGAAACTAGAAGTCAATAATAGAAGGAATCATGCAAAATTCACAAATATGTGAAAACTAGACAATATGCTCAGGAACAATAATTGAGTCCAAAAAGAAATTAAAAGAGAAATTAAAAGATATTTTGAGACAAACAAAAATGCAAATAAAACATACCGAAACTTATGAGACATAACAGAAGCAGTTCCAAGAGGAAAATTTATGGCATTAAATGCCTCTATCAAAAAAGAATGAAGAATGAAAATATCAAGTACACAACCTAATGTTACACCTCAGGAAACTAGAAATAGAAGAACTAACTAAACCCAAAGTTAGGAGAACAAAGGAAATAATGAATATTAGAGAATAAAATAGTCTAGGAAAACAATAGAAAAGATCAACTAAATTAACAGTTGGTTTTTGTAAAACTAAAGTGGCAAATCCTTATTTAGACTAACAGAGTAGAGAGAAAGCTCAACAATAAAATCAGGAATGAGAGAAGAGACATCACAACTGATAAGACAGAGGCAAAAATGCTACTAAGAGACAACTATGAACCAGTATACACTAACAAATTGGATATTCTAGAATAAATTGATGAATTCCTAGAAAAATATGACTACCAAGACTGAATCATGGGTTTATAGAACATCTGAACCAAACAATAATGAATAAAGCCATTGAATCAATAATAAAAGGTCCCCATCAAAGAAAACCCCAGGACAGATGGCTTCATGGCTGAATTCTATCAAACAATTAAAGAACAAGTACCAAACTTTCTCAAGCTCTTCCAAAAATTCTGGGATGAGGGCGAACTTTCAAACTCATTTTACAAAGCCAGCATTACTCTGAGAGCAAAGCCAGGCAAAGACAGAACAACAAAACAACAAAAAACCCTACAGGCGAATATCCTTAATCAACATAGAAATCTTTAACAAAATAGTAGAAAACCTTATTCAATAGTAGTTAAAAGATCATATACCATGATAAAGTGGGATTTATCTTTGGGATGTTTAAACATATGCAAGTCAATAAATGTGATCCACCATATTAACAGAATGAAGGTCAAAAATAATATGATTATCACAATAGATGTAGAAAATCATTTGACAAAATGTAATGTTTTTTCATGATAAGAACACTCAACAAAATAGGTATATAAGGAATGTTCATTAACCCAATAAAAGCCATATATGGCAAACCCACAGCTAACGTCATACTCAATGGTGAAACGTTGAAGATTTTTCTTTTAAGATCAGGAATAAGACAAAGATAACAATTCTCATCACTTCTATTCAATATAGTATTAGAAATCCAAGCCAGAGCAATTAGGCAAAAAAGGAAATAAAAGGCATCCAAATTGGAAAGGAAGAAGTAAAATTATCTCTGCTTGCTGATGATATAATTTTATATATAGAAAAACTTAAAGACTCCACCAAAAATTTTTAGAACTGATCAATGAATTCAGTACAGTTGCAAGTTACAAAATCAACATACAAAAATTAGTAGCATTTGTATACACTGACAATGAACTATCTGAAGAAGAAATTTAGAAAACAATCCTATTTACAATAACATCAAAACCTTAAATACGTAGAAGTAAATTTAACCAAGAAGGTGAAACATCTCTATACTAAAAACTATAAAACATTGATTAAAGAAATAGAAGAAGACACAAATAAATGGAAAGCTCTCTAGTGTTCATAGATTGGAAGAATTAATATAGTTAAAATATTCATGCTACATAAAGGGGCCTACAGATTCAATGCAGCCCCCATTATAATTCCAATGACCCTTTTGTTATAGAAATAGCAAAAGACAATCCTAAAAATTGCGTGGAACCCCAAAACACCCCAAATAGCCAAATAAATTCTTAGCAAAAAGAACAAAGCTGCGGGCATCAAAGTCTCTGATTTCAAAGTGTACTGTGAAGCTATAGTAACAAAAGCAGAATGGCACTGGTATGCAACAGAACAGGCTAGAAAGCCCAGAAATAAACCCATTTGTCTATGATAGATTGAATTTCAACAGAGGGGCCAAGAACACATGATGGCGAAAAGACAGTGTCCTTGATAAATTGTATTGGGAAAACTGGCTGTCCAAATACAGAATGAAATTGGACTCTATACATCCCTTATATAAGAATCAACTTTGGGAGGCCAAGGCGGGTGGATAACGAGGTCAAGAGATCGAGACCATCCTGGCCAGCATGGTGAAACCCTGTCCCTACTAAAATACAAAAAATTAGCCAGATGTGGTGGCACGTGCCTGTAGTCCCAGCTACTTGGCAGGCTGAGGCAGGAGAATCACTTGAACACACAGGAGGCAGACATTGCAGTGAGCTGAGATTGTGCCACTGCACTCCAGCCTGGTGACAGAGTGAGACTCCATCTCAAAAAAAAAAAAACAAAAAACAAAAAACAAAAAAACAAAAAAACAAAAACAGCATCAACTCAAAATGGATTAAAGACTGAAATGTAAGACCTGAAACCATAAAATTGCTAGAAGAAAACACAGGGGAAAACTTAACATGACATTGGTCTGGCCAATGATTTCTTGCATATGACCCCAAAAACAGGCAACAAAAGCAAAAATAGACAAATGAGATTGCATCAAACTAAAAACTTTTGCACAGCCAAGGAAACAATGAAAAGAGTGAAGAGATAATCCACAGATTGGGAGAAAATATTTGCAAATCATACAACAGGTAAGGGTTTCATATCCAAAATATATGAGTAACTCCGATTATTCAATAACAAAAAAAAAGAAAAAAGAAACAAATAACCCTATTTAGGAAATGGTCAAAAGACCTGAATAAACATTTCTGAAAAGAAGACGTATAAAAGGCCAACTGATATATGAAAAAAACATGGTTTTAAAGCCCATCACTTCTAAGATAGTATTTTAATTCACTACAATACAGAAGGATGGCTTTTTGAAGGTATCTGCACTGGGAAATTTGTACTTGAGCAGCATTAGTATCCTGAACTCTTCCTCCAGTTTTCCAACCAATAAACAGTAGTTTTCCTAAACTGTCCTGAGATGTATTAATACCCAAGCATACATGTGAACGTAAACACACACACACACACACTCACACATGCCCTTGTGTATGCTGTGTTGTGTTCAAATGTTTTAAATTTAAACAATGTCCCAAGAAAAGGTTCAGTTACGTAATCATTGGTTACTTTCCTTTCAGCCTTGAAGGGAGGAGAAAAGAAAAAAGTGCACGAGAGAGTGGGTTTAGGCAAAGTTGATTTGAAAAAATAAGCCTCAGAGAGGGATTCCATGAGGGAACCTCCGCTTTTGGCTTGAAGAGTCTACCATCAGGGTGGCTAGTAAAGTCTTTCACAAAAGATTCTAGGGAGACGGAGCTGGCTGGAAAAGTCCTGAGGTGGCAGGGCTGCATCCACTGAGTCACCACCACACTCACCTAGTGTAATATGGTTCACAGGAGCCTCCTAACATTATGATCCAACAAAGTGTTAAGAGTGGATCTCTGGATTTTGTGATTTTTGCCATTTTCTTTCTGTTGACCTACGCTTTCTACAATGTCCAAAGGATTCAAATGTAAATAGCTTTAAAATGATCATTCAGACTCTTTTAGATAGATGTTATAGATCAAATTTTATTTGGGTCCAAGAAAGACTTAAAATTTTCCTCAAAATTGCTAGTATTCTAACAAAATAACATTGATTGATTTTTTCTGATTATATAAGCAATATTATTAAGGAATTTAGATGAGCTACAAAAGCAAAAACAGAATTAAATGATGTACTTATAATTTCATTTCATTATTGAGTTAATATTAATATTTTTATGTATTTTAATTTTTAATTATAAAAATTATAACAATAACAATAATAACAATGGCTCAGTGCTTTCTTGCCATACCATTTTTAAGTATTAAATTTCTTAACTAATTTACCCTTCACCCCACCCCATATGTAGGCATAACACTATCTTCATTTTACATGTGGAGAAAAGGAGGCCTTCAAAGATTAGATAACACAGCTAAGTTCACATAGAAATACAGCCAGGATGTGGGCCCAGAGGCATGGCTTCAGAGCTTGAGTATTTAATCATTCTAAGCTGCTTTAAGGTTGTGTGTGTGTGTGTGTGTGTGTGTGTGTGTGTGTGTTAGACACAGACTCATGGATGTGATCATTACTACATAATTTGAGGCCCACAGCTTTTTAAAAACCCAGTTAAGAGGATAAGTAGGGTAATCTCCCCTTGCCACTGGAAGGACATTTTTGCAGATTTTATAACATTTTTTGTTTCATCTCCAATGAAACCTCTCATTACAAAGCCCCAGCCCTAACACTTATCTTCTGCTTGAGTCAAAATCATTTTCTATTTACACCTCTCTGTTCAACTCTGGATTCATTAAAACATCAACTTCATTTACCCATCAAAAAGAGAAATTTGTATTTTGATTTTATATTTCTTTATTTGTGCACCTTGCCATATGATTGTGTTTCTTTAGCTTTTACTTTTTGTGGGTACCTAGTAGGTATATATATTTTCAGGGTACATAAGATACCTTGATACAGGCATGCAATGCATAATAAACACATCATGGTAAATGGAGTATCCATCTGCTTGAGCATTTATTCTTTGTGTTATGAACAATTCAATTATACCATTTTAGTTATTTTTAAATGTACAATTATTATTGACTATAGTCACCCTGTTG
Source organism: Homo sapiens (assembly GCF_000001405.40). Taxonomy (NCBI): domain Eukaryota; kingdom Metazoa; phylum Chordata; class Mammalia; order Primates; family Hominidae; genus Homo; species Homo sapiens. Next base: position 36,663,319 of record NC_000023.11, on the reverse strand, counting down.
TCCCATCAAATACTAAGTCTTATTCAGTATTTCTAAGTATTTTTTAAAAACATTAACAATCCTTACTTCCCCCCAGCCCCCAACTACCCTTTCAAATCTCTGGCAACTATCCTTCTATCTCCATGAGTTCAATTGCTTTAATTTTTCAGCTCCCACAAGTAAGTGAGAAAATGGCAGTTTGTCTTTATGTGCCTGTTTTTTTTTTTTTTTTTTTTTTTTTTTTTTTTTTTTTTTGCGGGGGTAGGGGGAGCTTAAAACAAGAAACATTTATTCCCTCATAGTTTTAGAGGCCAGAAGTCTGAAATCAGGGTGTCTGGAGATTTAGTTCCTTCTGGAACCTCTCAAGGACAACCTGTTCCATACTTCCCTCCTAGTTTCTGGTAGTTGCAGACAATCCTTTATTGCAGGATCTGGCCAGCAGCCTGCAATGCAACGGGGCTCTTTCTTTGTTCCCAGGCACATTGGCAGGTCGATAAATAATAGACACACACAAGATAGTGAAAGCTGGGTCCGGGGGCTCACCGCCTTCTGGTTCCACGATGCCACCAATGCACTGGATATACCAGCATTTATTATTAAGTTTAGTGAGGGCGGGGGTAGGTTAGTGAGGGATTTAGGGTCATTTGATTATGAGGTGAGATGGTCACATGGGGATGAAGTAATTCTTTAACATAACATCTGTATGCAGAAGTACAGTATACACAGATAAGAATTTACAATATAGTATGTTCACCAGTAATTTCTAACAGAGCCTTAAAACAGAAACACAGTCTTTCCATAACCTATGATTAGCAAGATATTAATCAGCAGTAACAGTTGCAGCAAAAGCTGGTTACAAACAATCCATAGAAACAGGACAACAGGACGTGAAGCTAGACAACCAGTTTGACCAGAAATTCTCAGAAGGGAGTATACCTTAACCCTAAAGAGGCCCAGAAGAGCCGTGGCAAGATGAGGGCGTTTATAGCCCTATCTTATCCATATGGACAGGCGCCCCTCATGTGTCCATTTATAGGCTCTCCACAAGGGTTGCATTCCATTCCCAGAGCTATGAACATCTGCTTTTCTGGGATAGGAATCTTGGTGATGTGAAACCTCCCTGACTGCACGTCCGTTCTTAGGCTCTCTGCAGGGGGAAGCACATCACGTGTTGTTGACTCATTCTTGCAGTCCAACCTGGCATCGTCTTTACACAATCCCGCACGCAACTTTGTATTTACAATAATCAGGAGCATTTCATCTTTTATTCCACAGCAATAGTTTCAGGGGGTCTCCCTACAATCCTTGTCATTCCTTGGCTTGCAGCTGCAATCTCCAATCACTGCCTCTGTCTTCACTGACCTTTCCCCCTGTGTGTCTCCTCTGTCTCTCTGCGTTGACATAGCTTTCTTATCCAAATGCCCATCATTAGATTTAGGGTCTACTCTAATGTACTATAATCTCATCCTAAGTAATCACATATTCAAAGACCCTATTTCCAAAAAAGGTCACATTTGCAGGTATCAGAGGATAGGACTCAAATATATCTTTTTGGGGGGACACAAGGCAACCCATTTTAGGAATCTTCTGGAAAGTTTTCTCATTCCTAAGTAGGAGGTTCAGGGAAACACAGTCTTTTTTTTCTCCTTTGGATATTGTCATGTCTGGATATGATGCCTGAACCTGCTGCCACTGCCTTTTTCTTAGTTTGGGGATAAAGCCAATATGCAAAGAAAGACAATTCCAGGAAACCACATAGAATAGGTGCTAGTGCTAAAGAGCGGTGTTATTTTACCTGTCCCTGAGTTGTCCCTTCTTTTTAACAACTTTTTATCTTTGTAGGTTCATGGTAGGTGCATATATTTATGGGGTGCATAAAATGTTTTGCTATAGGCATTCAATGTGTAATAATCTTATCATGGATGAGAAGAATTGTTTATTGTCTAAACCAGTTTTATTCAGGATATCTATTAGTTGCAGCTAATAACATCTTTCATGATATAATGACACTCAAATACATTATTAATCAGGTACACGGTGGCGCTCCATGGGAATAATAAAGAAAAGTAGTTTTGGGGAAAAGATGTCACAAATATGTATACAGGTATGCATATATGTATGTATTTGTGAATATAACAAGAAATAATGACATTTAGCTTCTGACAGTTACTTTTTACCGTAGAAACATATTACCAAACAACTGTGATTTATGGCTTGTAAATTATTTTAATTTAAGAGTTTCTCTGTAGGGCATCCCATCTACAGCCAACTTAAGGTTAATTTGTAATTATGAATGATGCTTAGGAAGTTTGACCAACTTGAGCTCTGCTGTCAACTAAACTTTCATTGAAGATTGTGAAGATTTTCCTTGTGAGATCTGTAGTGTTATTACAGTGATATGTATGCAACCACTTAGTTCTAAGTACAGAAAAGTGAAGAGTTGGGCAAGGAGGTTGCTGTAGTGGTCTCTGAGATAGGTGATGAGAGCTTGATATAGAGCAGTGGAAGTGATATTGGAAAGGATGGATAGATCTTCAAAGGAGGAATGTAAATTAAAATGTTAATAGTAAATGGAAATAGACAAGGTACACAACAGAGTCAATTCTGATGCCAAGTGATTGTACCCATCCATGAGTTATCCCTTCTTTTTAACAATTTTTGATCTTTGTGGGTTCATGGTAGGTGTATATATTTATGGGGTACATAAAAGGTGTATATAGGCATTCAGTGTATAATAATCATATCATGGAAGATGGGATATCCATCCCAATTATTAATCTTTGTGTTAAAAATAATCCAATTAAACACTTTTCATTATTTTGCAACGTACAATTACATTAGTATTGACTGTATTCAACCTGTTGTGCTATCAAATATTAGGCCTTATTCATTTATTCAAACTGCTTTTGTGTCAATTAACTATCCCCACCTGCCATCCCCACCCCCCACTACCCATCACAGCCTCCGGTCACCATCCTTCTATTCTCTGTCTCCGTGAGTTTAGGTGTCTTGATTTTTAGATCCCACAGATAAGAGAGAATATGCGATGTTTGTCTTTCTGTGCCTGGCTTATTTCACTTAACATAATGACTTACAGTTCCATCCATGGTATTACAAATGACAAGATCTCATTCTTTTTATGGCTGAATAGTACTCCACTGTGTATATGTACCATATTTTCTTTATCCATTCATCTGTTGATGGACACTTAGGTTGCTTTCAAAGCTTGGCTATTATGAACAGAGCTGTAACAAACATGGAAGTGCAGATATCTCTTTGATATATTGATTTCCTTTCTTTTAAGTATATACCCAGGGCAACACTGAGTTCAATGCTAAGTCCCCCAGTCTCTGTGCTCTCCTTTCACTAAGTGCACTGTTCTTTCTCCATGTCACACAGCTGCTGTTGGGGGATGAGGGAGGGCTGGTGTTGGCAATTCAAGACTGCCTTTTCTACCCTCTTCAGTGTGTCTTTCTGTAACATAAAGTTAAAACCTGGTACTGTGATTGCTCACCTGATTTTTGGTTCTTATACTGGTGCTTTTTTTCTGTAGTTAGTTTTTGAAATTTCATGTTTCTGCGGGGGGTGGGGGGGGCAATCAGAGGAGCCTCCTAATCCCTCATCTTGCTCCACCTATGATTGTATTTTTCAGCGTGTATCTTTCTATAGAAAGAATGTTAGTCCCTTTTCACGTATGGTTAAAATATTTTCCTAAGTTTTTCATTTGCTTTTTGAATTTACTTTTGATATTTTCTTTGATATAGACTAATTTTAATATTGCCAATCATATTCTTAGTGGCTTCTGGATGTGTCCTTAAAAATAAATACTTTTTTTGCCTTCAACAAATATTTATTGAGGTAAAATCTGGGCCTTGGTGGAGATCACAATCCATTGGGAGGAGCAGAAATGGTGAATAATCATAGCACAGCATAGTAAGCACAGAGCAATGTGCTGTGGAATCACAAGAGAGGAATTGTTACATTCAGGGTACTACTGGGGGATTGACAGTTTCACAGAATATTCCACAGTGTTGAAAATAGGTGGGGCTGAGAGTTGGGGGAAAGGAGAAGTAACAGAAAGGTATAGCAAGAACTGAAGCTCAAAAAGCAGGAAGTCAAATTGCCAGATATCTCTTTCATCCTGAAGAGTTGGATCATACACTATGGTGATAAGAGAAAGGTCTCCCTCATGCATTCTTATCTCTTCTGTGCTACATCTCCAATTTCAACTTTGCTGTCTTTATTTGTATTGAACTACCAATGATTCCTTAATATTGCTCTCATTCTGAATCCTGCACACAATATCCTTGCCTTTCTTTTGCACTTGAACACTGGCACACTTATTCTTCAAATGTCAGCTAGGGCATGTTATCATCTCTGTGCCTCCTCTCCCTCAAGTATAATAGAACAGCTGTTCCCCTCATACACTAGCATTCACCCTGGGTATAAGCCTTCTTAGCATACAGTACCCAGAGCTGTAATCATTTTCACTCAGGTATAGCTTTAGCTAAAGGATAAGCTATTTGATATCATACTCTTTTCACCCCACAGTACTAGCCCAATGTCTGACAAATATTCAGCACTGAATGAATCTTTCTTGAATGAACAAATGGGTGAACGAGTGAGTGAGTAGTTTAATCAGAATACAGTTCTTGCTGAACCAAGGAGATATGAACTTGAAAAGACAAGTTTTCCAGATGATTTTACACTACTGGAAACCTATTGAATATTCTCTAAGAAAAAACTGAGTAGTAAAGCAGATTGTCCTATCCAATGTTTCTTTCAATCCACATGAGTAGCTAATTGACATATCTAGCCATATTTCCCTGTGGCAATGATAGATTTTATGCCAAGCTCCTTGTCCAAGTTTTGAATCTGGCTTTTTTTTTAACCACAACATAATAAGTTCTTGTTGTTGTTGAGGCCTTCAACTATCTGAAATCATTAACAATTCAAATGTTAATAATACAGAAACACCCTCACAGACACACCTAGAATAATGTTTAATGTTTAACCACGTATCTTGGCACCCCACATCCCAGTTCAGTTGACACAAAATTAACCATCACAGGCAGTTTCTCAAAAAATAAAAAATGGAATTACCATATGATTCAGTAATTCTACTTCTGGGTATATATGCAAAATAACAACTTCCTTTGAAATTACATTTTTATACTTAGAATTATAGAATCTAGAATCATTTGGAAGTATTAGCTATATTTTGTCCAACCATTAACATTTTATATTTTTCCCATCAGTCTTGTCCTAGTTAGCCTCAAATTTTCTAACCAGCAGTATTATCTCTCTGCTTACGGCTTGCCGACCGAGGATATGTAGGAAGGAGACTGCCTCTGAGAGTGGGAATACAAGGGAGAAGTTACCAGGGCTTGCTGCATAACAAAGGGTGGGCGTCTACTAGTAGTTCTAACTCCAGAAGTGCTATATCAGAAGAAATAAGCCAAAATTGTGGAATTGGGAGAATAGAAGTTTTAATAGCACAATTAGGTGATTATAGTTAACAATAATTTATTGTAAGGGGGAGGCAGGATGGCTGAATTGAAGCTTCCACTGATCATCCTCCCAAAACATACACACACAAGAACAGCAAATTTTAACAACTACACACACACACACACACACAAACACACACACACAAACACACACACACACACTCAAAACACTGTCTTAAGAACTGCAAATTAGGTAAGTAATCACAGCATCTGGTTTTAACTTCTTATTGCTGAAAGAGGAGCTGAAGAGGGTAGGAAAGACAGTTTTGAATTGCTGATGCCAGCCCCCCAGCCCCTGGCCCCCGGCCCCTGGCAGCCGTTGCATGGCACAAAAAAATCTGTGCACTTGGTGGACAGAGAGCAAAGAGACTGGAGGACATGGCATTAAACTCAGTGCTACCCTGTCACATGGGAGAGCACAGCTATGCTAGGGTCAGCTAGCACCCACCCACGGAGGGCACATTTGAACCTGCCCTAGCCGGAGGGGAATCACCCAATGCAGGGTTCAGAAATTAAATTTCTTTGCAAACCTTGCCACAAGGAACCTAAGTGCTCTGGGATCCTAGGTAAACTTGAAAGGCAGTCTAGGACAAAAAGACTGCAATTCCAAGACAAGGCCTAGTGCTGGGCTGGGCTTAGAGCCAGTGGAGTAGGATGGTGTGTGACCTAGGGAGATACCAGCTGGGGGGCTAAAGGGTATGCTTGGACCACTCTTCTTAACAGCAGATTTGATCAAGCAGAAAGAAAAATTAGTGAGATTAAAATTAGGCTATTTGAAAGTACCCAGTCAGAGGAGATGAAAGACAAAAGAATATAAAAGAATGAAGCACACCTACAAGATCTAGAAAATAGTCTCAAAAGTGCAAATTTAAGAGGTACTGGCCTTAAAGAAAAGACAGAGAGAAAGGGCTAGAAAGTTTATTGAAAAAGATAATAAAAGAGAACTTCCCCAAACTAGAGAAAGATATCAATATCTAAATGCCAGAAGGTTATAGAACACCGAGTAGATTTTACTCAAGGAAGACTATCACAAGGTGTTTAGTATTTAAATTCCCAAAGGTCAAGGATAAAAAAAGGATCCTAAAATCAGCAAGAGAAAGGAAACAAATAAGATACAAAGCAGCTCCAATATGTCTGGCAGCAGACTTTTAAATGGAAACCTTATAGGCCAGGAGAGAGTGGCATGACATATTTAAAATGTTGAAAGAATAAATAAATAAATAAATAAACTTGCCCTAGAATAGTATATCTGGTGAAAAATTACTTCATGCTTGAAGGAAATCAGTATATCAAAGAGATAGCTGTACTCCCATGCTTTTTGCAGCACTATTCACAATAGCTAAGATTTTGAAGCAACTTAAGTGCCTATCAACAGATGAATGGGTAAAGAAAATGTAGTACTTATACACAATGGAGTACTATTCAGCCATAAAAAGAATGAGATCCTGTCATTTGCAACAACATGGCTGCAACTAGAGATCATTATGTTAAATGAAATAAGCCAGGCACAGAAAAACACACTTCTCAAGTTCTCACATTTTTTTTGTGGAAGCTAAATATTACAATAATTGAACTCACGAAGGTAGAGAGTAGAAGTATGGTTACAAGAGCCCAGGAAAGGTAGTGGAATTGGGGGAATGTGGGGATGGTTAATGGGTCCAAAAAGTAGTTAGAAAGAATGAATAAGACCTAGTATTTGATAGTACAACAGGGTGGCTACAGTCAATAATAATTTAATTGTACACTTTAAAATATATAATAGAGTATAACTGGATTATTTATTTATTTGAGATGGAGTTTCGCTCTTGTCGCCCAGGCTGGAGTGCAATGGCGCTATCAGTGCAATGACTCCATGTCGGCTCGCTGCAACCTCCGCCTTGTGGGTTCAAGCAATTCTCCTGCCTCAGCCTCCCAAGTAGCTGAGATTACAGGCACGTGCCACCACACCCGGCTAATTTTTATATTTTTAGTAGAGACGGGATTTTGCCATGTTGGCAAGGCTGGTCTCGAACTCCTGACCTCAGATGATCCACCCACCTCAGCCTCCCAAACTGTTGGGATTACAGGTGTGAGCCACTGTGCCCAGCCTGGATTATTTCTAACACAAGGAATAAATGCTTGAGGGGTTGGACACCTCAGTTATCATGATATGATTATTATGGATTGCATGTCTGTATCAATGTATTTCATGTACCCTATAAATATATATACCTATTTTGTACATACAAGTAAAATTTAAAAAATTAAAAAGCATTTATTGTATATTTTATTATTTATTTAATTTTTTTGATTTCTGCTAAATTTCTTTTTTTTTAATTATACTTTAAGTTTTAGGGTACATATGCACAACGTGCAGGTTAGTTACGTATGTATACATGTGCCATGTAGGTATGCTGCACCCAGTAACTTGTCATTTAACATTAGGTATATCTCCAAATGCTATCCCTCCCCCATCACCACCGATCCCATAGAAACACAAACTACCATCAGAGAATACTATAAACACCTCTACGCAAATAAACTAGAAAATCTAGAAGAAATGGATAAATTCCTCGACACATACATCCTCCCAAGACTAAACCAGGAAGAAGTTGAATCTCTGAATAGACCAATAACAGGCTCTGAAATTGAGGCAATAATTAATAGCTTACAAACCAAAAAAAAGTCCAGGACCAGATGGATTATTGTATGTTTTATAATAACTAGAAGATTTTAGAATGATACCAACACAAATAAATGATATATCACAATGAACCTGATTTGTTCATTACACATTGTGTGCATATATTGAAAAAATGAAAAAATCATACGACCTCATAAATATGTACAAGTGTTATGTATCAATTAGAAAAGAAAAAGAAATCAGGAAAGTGTCCTGGAGGAGGTAAGCAGAGGCAGGAAAAAGAGAGGGGAGACTTAGCAATGAGAAAATGAGGCAAAATACATGTAGTACAGAAAATCTTCAATCCTGTATTGTTTTCTAGTGATTCAATCACTTAGGATGGGACCGTAGAAGGGCTGTCCTCTCATCTGGCTCTCCTGTGAAGTGCTTCTAAGGCATTATTTCTTTAGATCTTCCCATTGAAAGACTGCTGGAGAGATGCTACAGGCCGTTACCCCACGGATGTTACAGAAGTCTTGTCTAAAATTGTCGGAAGTACATGATGTGCCTCAGCATCCCTACTCCAATGACTGAAGTCAGAGAGTTGTGAAGAGGGGTGAGGCTGAACAGCTATCTCTGAGGAATTAGAGTTATGGTCCATTAATGTTTAACTGAAGAAAGGAAAATTAGCATCCAAAATGGAATACTAGAGCAGATACCAACTCTTGTCTTTTAAATTCAAATGTAGGGAGCCTGCAGCCGGAGCACCATTGACATATCACATGCAAGGCATAGAGGTGTAAGATATTTGCCAGATCTGGGTATGAGACTAATATATTACCAACTTTGGTCAACATCTAATCAAGATCAGAAGCTAGGTATGCCCAAACCTACAATTTGATCAATCTCAGTGTCTGTAGCTGAGTGAAATTCTGATAAAATAAGGATAGACACTCACTATCAAAATGAATAGCACTCGGTGAATAGAATGATTATGGCTCAACATCAATTGGTGACCCAAATTGACCCTGGCAATTTAATCAGAATGCAAACTCTCACTATTTTTTGATGAAATAAGAAATATAATCTTATGAGAACAAAAAGCACTGGGAACTATGAGAGGTGGCAGCAAGGGAGGGAGACAGGGTTGAAAAATTATTGGATGCTATGCTCAGTACCTGGGCGATGGGATCAATTGCACCCCAAACCTCAGCATCACATAATATACCCATGTAACAAACTTGCACACGTGCCCCTGAATCTAAAATAAAAGTTGAACCGCAACTGAACACCACATATTCCCACTGATAAGTGGGATTTGAACAATGAGAACCCATGGACACAGGAAGGGGAACAAACAACACACACCAGGGCCTGTTGAGGGGTGGGGGGGCATGCAGAGGGAACTTAGAGGACGGGTCAATAGGTGCAGCAAACCACCAAGGGACATGTATACCTATGTAATACACCTGCACCTTCTGCACATGTATCCCAGAACTTAAAGTAAAATATAAATAAATAAATAAATAAATCCGTATGCTACAGGTCACTGCCCACACCATTACATCACAGTGACTAGTTATGGGGTTTTGTCAGCCATAGTTTTTTAAACTCTCCAGGTAATCCTAATGCACAGCCAAATTTGAGAATCAGTGTTTTACATAATAGTTTGCAACTGGGAACACTTTATTGAGAACTATACCTTCCAAATCTTTCATGGCAGTATTTAATGTTTCTACAATGGACGTGGATCTGACATTAATGGGATTTGGAGCATGCTGCCCCAAAATATGGCACCTTGGTGTTTAAAAAAAAAAACAGTACAATCTAAGAAGGTCATTTTTTTTTTAACCTTTTCCTGTCCTTCTCTGAAGCAAGTTATAAGATCTTTTTTCCAGAGGTGCCCTCCCTATACCTGGAGGAAAAGAACATCTTTGTCTCTGGAAGCACAGGGACACAGAGAAGAATCTGAACAAACAGGCCTTGCTAAGCCCCTCCCAGTTTATTAGCCATTAGATCATACCCTCTTTGTCCAATCCATACTTATGTATGACTGTCTACTCTTCATCAAACCAAAGATAAAAATAAACAGGTCTCTGTTTCTTTGGGTTTTCATTTCTGAATCCTCCCATGTCAAATAAAACTCACATTAAATACATATGTACGATTTCCTCTTGTTAATCTGTCTTCTGTTATAGAGGTCTCTGCCATAAACCCTGAAAAAAGGTGAGGAAAAAGTCAGGGGAAAAAGTCAATGAAGCCCACTTACTTCCAGCATCAGGAATAATTTCATATTTAATATTTTCTGGAGTGCAATGTTGAAATGCCATTTTCTGTTGATTTGCATTTGGTGGAAAGGCAGCAGGGGAGCATGGTGATCTTTATGAGCTCTCACCGTCTTGCTGGCTGATGTGGTTTTCATGCCATTGTGTTATTTAGTGTTATAACTGGTCTTGGTCATTTTATATTCCAAAATTCTGATGGGGAGTAATATGCCATTTATTATTGGAACATTAAAACGAATTTCAGTTCTACTGTTCCAGAACTTGGATACTTTTCCTGTAAAATCTTTATTTTTCAAATTTATACACTTTTAAAATCTACATAGCTCTGTCTGAGACACTGAATTATCCCAGGTGTTCGTTTTGCCAGGGTAATTTCTCACTATTCTTTGCTCATTCTCTCCCTTTTTTCTTTATTCTTTACTTCTGATTTCTCATTGTTAGGAAGTAAATGAAGAATGGAGTAAAATGAAATAGTACAGTTCTTACTGGGAGCTCTCTTGAGTAGCCACCATATAAAATTTGATTTAGCACATAAAACACCTACAGGGGTAGAATTTAATGTGTCTTAAGCCTCTAGAATTTATAAAAACCTGAGATTCTTACATTGCTTAAGTTTAACGAGTACAGTTTTTAATTTAGCCCTACTTCTCATTGCATGGGTCAGAGTTTAAATATATTATCATTTCAATTTATTTTGAGGAACCATTTTTTTTTTAAAAAACAAAATGGGTTCACTTTTGGAATCATTTTTTTTAAAAACTGAATCCATACTTAATGATATGGTTTGGCTCTGTGTCCCCACCAAAATCTCACCTTGAATTGTAATAATCTCCACGTGCCAAGGGTGGGACCAAGTGGAGATAATGGAATCATGGGGACGGTTTTTCCCTGTGCTGTTCCCGAGATCTGATGGTTTTATAAGCGTGTGGCATTTCCCCTGCTTTCACTCATTCTCTCTCCTGCCACCATGTGAAGAGGTGCCTTCTGCCGTGATTGTAAGTCTCCTGAGGTTTCCTCAGCCATGTGACACTGTGAGCCAATTAAATCTCTTTTCTTTACAAATTACCCAATCCCAGGCAGTTCTTTATGGCAGCGTGAGAATGGACTAATACATTCAACATTAAAATGAAAATGATTACGAAGTTGTGAGAGTAACTTATTGTGATAACATTTACTCTTTCACTTGTAAAATGCTTAGTATGTTACAATGGGGGTATACTTCTAAAGTGTAAGTAATCTTAAATTATTGCAGGAGAAATTTAGAACAGAACACATAGTGTATTTCCTAAATCCATGTTCCCCTGGCCTATAGAATAAGTTCTTGAACATTATATAATGAAGATTGATTCACTTATTTATTCACAATTATTCATTGAATGCCTGGTGTTTTCCATGAACTGACCTGGGCATGAGGATGGAATATAGTACTCTCAGGACACTTCCAAATACATAGAAAGATGTTTTAAAACATTTAAACAAGTACAGCACATTCGATCACAACTGTAATGGCTTTGTGTATGTGAATGCTATAGGACCACAGCAAGGCCATGAAAACACTTTTCTGAGATACTCAGCAACATGTTCATTGGGAAAATTATATTTGAGTTGATTTTTGAGTTGGGAAGGAGTTCACAGGAAAGAAACAATTGAAATAAATTCCAGGCATAAAATAAAGCATATGCAACTACAAACAATGCAGGGACCTTGGCAGGGACTTGGCTCTCAGAGTGAAAGTGGGGCAGTTGCAGGTGATGAGGCCCAAGGGGCATCCAGGGTCTGGGAAGTCATGCTAAGTGGTCTGAAGTTCATTCATTTGGGAAATTGCTTCTGCTTAAGGCATAGTCAGTCCTTACACTTTAAAGGGTAGATATGACATCAGTGGAGAGCTGGAGAAGGGATTGACAGTTTAGGAAGCCAACAAAACAGTCCAACTGAACACCCACAACTGAAAACAAAACCACATTTTAAAACTGCATGTTGATTACAAAAGCCTTGTTTGTATCTGAAAATATGTGTTTTACAAACTGCAAGTTAAAATGCAACCACTATAAAGGATGGCTTCCAAACTTCTTATGACCTCAAAATAGAAAGGCATTGTCAGGGAGACAATGAAGCCTAAAAATAATTTTGAATATCTGAATGCACTCAGGGCAGCTTTTAAATTCTGGCCATGACTAAGTTTCTCATCCGGGTGTGTTCCCCGTTGGAAAATCTCCTCTCCTGTAAAAAGGAAATCTTATTTTTGTTACCTTCGTGTTATACAGAATGCTTAACAATATTTCTATCCATGCCAAAAACTTATACCCATATGTTTTCATAATTATTGTTCTATCAATCACATAGTTTTTCTGTATTTGACAAATCTCCATTGAAATACATGAAAGAAAGTAAATAGAAAATGTATCTGTCTTGGCCCATGTTGGGGCAACCGGGAAAAATTTTCCCAGCTCCTAAGCTCTCCATGGGAATGGTTGGGGCCTCCACTGAGACTGCCCATTGAGACTGAAGCTTGACTTTTTCTTCTTTCCAGTTTTTTTCTTTTCCTTTCCCCAGGTATTGATCCCCAGGGAACTCCTTACTAACTATCCTGTCTGCTAAACTCCGTGTCAGATTTTGCAACCTGAGAAACCAAGTGTATGACCCTTGGAAAAATCACTGAGAGTAAGTGGCAGAGCAAGAATTTTAAATTCATATCTGTTGGCTACAATGCCCATTTGAAAAACCCTGATAAAAAACTATTACCAATTCAAAATAATGCATCAACCAAAATTATTTAAGCTAAATTCAATTGTCTGAGCACTACCCAAAAAACTTGCTCTTATGAAATGGTCAAATAAATGTCTGTAGTTGATGCTAATTTAATCAGCTGTGGTGGTGAAAAGACCACTACACAATCAGTTGTGGGACTCACTAGACTTTCTCAGACCTTATGACAAGTGGTTCGAATCATTCGTGGGACAGGATAACTGACAGTTCTGCAATGGGCTGACTCTTCTTTTGGAACAACCTTGCAGGCCCCCTTATCCATCAATGGCAGTTCTGTTAAGACCTACCCTTTCTCCCTCTACTCCACCCTTTTGGCACTCCCTAACTTTAAAAGATGCTTTATTTTTAATTTTCAGTTACTATGGGTACATAATAGGTGTATATATTCATGAGGTACATGTGATGTTCTGATAAAAAAACATACAATGTAGAATAATCACAGCAGGGTAATTGGAATATCTATCACCTCAAGCATTTATCATTTTCTGTATTAGGAACATTCCAATTTCATCCTTTTAGTAATTTTAAAATATACAACATATTATTATTGACTATAGTCATTTTGTTCTGCTATCAAATAATAGATCTTATTCATTCTATTTAACTACGTTTTTGCACTCATTAGCCATCTTCATTGTTTTCTTTATTTTTGTTGTTAGCATTTGACACCATCTATTGTTACTTTGTTAATTCATTTTGTTAGTTTTCTCTCTTCTTCCCCACTAGACTGCCAGCTCCATAGGACATGGATTTTTGTCTGTTTTGTTCCCTCCTATATCCCCAGCACCTAGATGAGTGCCTGATACATAGTAGGACGTCACTAGCATTTGTTGAATAAGTGAATAACCAAATGGTCATTTCTTCTTTGCAAAGGGTTTCCTGAGGAGAGTTGTTTCTCTCTATATATAAAACCCTGAAAATTTAGTGTAGACTTGAATTATAAGATCCGCTTCATTACAATATAGTCACATGCTTACTTAAATACATTCATATTATCTTATCTTCAGTCTTTTTAAATAGAACTCAAAACCTGTAATCAAGTATTTAAATACATCAGCTACCTATTAATTTCACACTTTTCTTGGATTTGTCTCCATCTCCTTCTTCTTCAGCATCAGCCTGAGAATTTTAGTAACCACTCATCTGTGTTGTATCCCTATTTCCTACATTCCATGTTTTCCCCTCTCATCATTTACTTCCTAACATTTGGTGGAGCACTTCCTCCAGTAACTTTCTTTACCCATTATAGAGTGTCCATTCACACTCTAAAATGCCTTTATTATATTTTCATGTTTGATAGTTCAGTTGTGTACAATATTTTAGTTTGGAAATAACTTGTGCTTTAAAATGTGCAAATACTTCTTCATTATCTTGTAGGTTCCCATTTTGTCAGCGAGGCATCCAATGCCATTCTGATCTTTGATCCTTAGTATCCCAACTCCCTGGAATATATTAAGATTTTCTCTTTATCATTAGTGTAGGTTTCTATGATTGTGTATTTTTATTATTATTTTGCTCTTACTAAGCAGGCACTTTCAATCTGAGGAATTCATGTTCTTTACTTCTGGAAAGTTTTCTTAGAAGATTTCAAGAATAATTTTCTGACATTTTTTCTCACTGTTTCTTTCTGAATCTCTTGTTATTTAGATTTTACTCATCTCTTACTTATCCTCTAATTTTCTAAAGTTTTTTTGTCCTATTTCTCATTTTTTTCTGCTTTGAGGTATTGTCTTGAAATTATCCCCTAAGCTTTTATTAGCATTTCAATTTTATTTCCAAGATATCATTCTAGCCTGTCAGTTGGTTTTTTTCTTAATTTTAATACTATCTACTGCTTCTTCAATGAATACAGTATTTTGTCATTTTCCTAAAAATAATGTTTTTGTATTATTATCATTACTTTAATTTTCTTCTCCCTGCCTATAAGCATATTGTTCTCCCCCTTCTTCTCTTCCACTCTTCCTTTTTCTCTTTCTTTTTCTCTTT